>NC_000023.11:35896407-36046764 GCF_000001405.40 Homo sapiens | reverse complement strand
GAAAATTAAAATAAGAAATATTTGTAATCATGTGCCTAATTATTAAAGATATCTTTGTATCATCTCTTATTTTCTGATCACAATATAAGATGGATGATAACTAAGAACCACTTGAGATGATCAAATATTCCTTTTGTTCTATAAGGATTAAAAAGACATGTGACACCTGATTAAACACAATATTTCTTAATCACCATCATGATAGAAATTACTGTTTTTAAATGTATTCTGATGAAAATTTACCAAAAGTTATCACTTTAATAGGTACAAACTTAATGCATATAGACTGAATAATAATAACAGATGCATATACATGTAGGTAGATATTTGAAAATTTGGATACTATTAAGCGCATATATACATATATTATGAATGTTTTTCAATCATTACCATTCAAAAATTCCACTTAATGTTGACATACTTAATTATACATTTATACTTTTTATAGCCATTCCAAACTGTTTATTTTTAATATAAAAATATGTATTAATAGTATTCACTTTAAAATTGAATTACTACTTATTATTTTTAGTGACCAATAAATATTTAATCATATTACTTTGTTTACTTATATATGTAAAAACTTACATATCTATGGCAGATAAGAGGTATCATCAAATGGAAATTATATATCCTTGCTATTTTAATCAGTATGAGAACTATTTAGCTAATAAGAAAAAATAAAGATCTAAAATTGTATTAGTTAAACCTATACGCTACCTTGAATAAAAACATGGAAAGTAATTTATAAATCCAGTTTGAAAATAATTCAGTTATTACTTAGCTAATTAACTTATCTTTGCATAAGTGATTAATGCTGTTGATTTTATTACATATGTATAACTTGGACACTGCATTACATTATTTCTTCAGTACCTCTCATATTCATTTCATTATACCATATTTAGCAAGACTCAACTTTTGAGTTGAAGTAGCTTTTAAATTGATACCTTTATACATTAATTCCAAAGTTGAAAAATTAAGAGATTAATTCATATATTAGAAAATGATTATTGATTTAAAACTGCTTTCTAGCACAATTTAATTGAAGCCACTACTATTTCCCGTTTAAACAACAAAGGTTAGTGTCTATTTATAAGATAAGGTCTTAAAGGAACTGCAAATCCCAAAGTTTTGATGATGTTGAACATTACCTAACAAAGTAAATGACATTTTGAGCGAGCCCCATGGAGTCTGTAAGTACTCAGTCCTGGCAGCATTCATCACCTGTTAACTGAAGAGCCCCCTTGGACCCTGAATAACCAGCAGCAATACCCAGGTACTACATTGAGGGCCTTGGGTGACCCTCTGAGACTTGCTGGCTTCAGGTGAGATTCAGCACATTACTAGCTGTGGTGGCTATGGGGCAAAACTTGTTCTGCTTGTGAAAAGCAGAAGAAAAAGTAAAGGAGACTTTGTCTTGCACCTGAGGTACCAGCACAGCCACAGCGGAGTAGAACACCAAGTTGATAAATTTCATTACCCCTTCAGGACAAAAACCCTCAAAACACTGGGGACAGGAGAAACATACCTCAGCATGATAAAAGTGATGTATGACAGACCAACAGCTAATATCACATAGAATAGAGAAAAACTGAAAAATGTCTTCTAAGATTTAGAACACAACAAGGATGCTCACTTTCACTACTGTCATTCAACATAGTAATGGAATTTCTAGATAGAGCAATCAGACAAGAGAAAGATATAAAGGGCATCCAAGTTGGAAAGGAAGAAGTACAATATCCTTGTTTGTAGATTATATGAGCTTATATTTGAAAAAGACTCTGCAAGAAAACTATTAGAACTGATCAATTCAGTAAAGTTGCAGGGTACAAAATAAACATAAAAAATCAGTAGCATTTCTACATGCCAACAGATAACAATCTGAAAAAGAAATAAAAAATAATAGAATTGGTACTAAGGTAGTGGGGCATTGCTGTAAGATACCTGAGAATGTGGAAGTGACTTTGGAACTGGGTAACTGGCAGAGTTTGAAACAGTTTGGAGGGCTCAGAAGAAGACAGGAAGATGAGTGAAAATTTGGAACTTTCTAGAGTCTTGTTGAATGGTTTTGACCAAAATGATGATAGTGATGTGGACAATGAAGTCCAGGCTGAAGTGGTCTCAGATAGAGATGAGGAACTTATTGGGAGCTGGAGTAAAAGTCACTCATGCTATGCTTTAGCAAAGAGACTGGTGGCATGTCGCCCTTGCCCTAGAGATCTGTGGAAATTTGAACTTGATGGAGATAATTTAGGGTATCTGGTCAAATAAATTTCTAAGCAGCAAAGCATTCAAGTTTTAACCAGGCTTATTCTGAAAGCATTCAGTTGTATGCATACACGAAGAGATGGTTTGAAATTGGAACTAATGTTTCAAAGGGAATAAGAGCATAAAGGTTTCGAAAATTTGCAGCCTGACCATGTGGTAGAAAAGAAGACAGCATTTTTCTGAAGAGGAATTCAAGCCAGCTGCAGACATTTGCATAAATAATGAGGAGCCAAGACAATGGGGAAAATGTCTGCAGGGCATGTCATAGATCTTCATAACAGCCCCTCCCATCACAGGGCCAGAGGCCTAGGAGGGAAAAATGGCTTTTTGGGCTGTGCCCAGAGCCCTGCTGCTCTGTGAAGCTTCAGGGCTTGGTACCCTGTGTCCCAGACGCTCCAGCTCTAGCTGTGGCTAAAAGGGGCCAAGGTACAGCTCAGCTCATTGCTTCAGAAAATGCAAACCCCAAGCCTTGGTGGCTTCCACATCGTGTTGGGCCTGCAGGTGCACAGAAGACAAGAGTTGAGCTTTGGGAACCTCTGCCTAGATTTCAGAGGATGTATGGAAACACCTGGATGTCCAGGCCAAAGTCTGCTACAGGGGCAGAGTCCTCATGGAGAACCTCTGCTAGAGCAGTGCAGAAGGGAAATGTAGGGTTGTATGTGCCACACAGAGTCTCCACTGGAACACTGCCTAGTTGAGCTATAAGAGGGCCACCATCCTGCAGACCCCAGAAAGGTAGAACCACCAACAGCTTGCACCATGTGCCTAGAAAAGTTGCCTGCACTCAACATCAGCTTGTGAAGGCAGCCACAACAGCTGTACCCTCCAGAGCCATAGGGACAGAGCTGGCCAAGGGTGTGGGAGCCCACCCTTTGCATCAGCATGCCTTGGATGTGAGACATAGAGTCAAAGGAGATCATTTTGGAGCTTTAAGATTTGACTGCCATGCTAGGTTTCAGACTTGCATGGGGCCTGTGGCCCCTTTGTTTTGGCCAATTTCTCCTATTTGGAATATGGACATTTACCCTGTGCTTGTACCCTCATTGTATCTTGGAAGTGACTATCTTGTCTTAGATTTTACAGGCTCATATGTGGAAGGGACTTACCTTGTCTCAGATGAGACTTTGGACTTGGACTTTTGAGTTAATGCTGGAATGAGTTAAGACTTTGGGAGACTGTCAGGAAGACATGATTGCTTTTGAAATGTTAAAAGGACATGAGACTTAAATGTTTTTAATACTTATTTGTTTTTAATACAACTATATATATTTGTATATATTAATACTTAAATGTTTTTAATACTTAGTTTCTACATTTGGCCTTTCATATTTAAGCTTTTAATACATTTGTAATGAATTTTTGTGAATTGTGTGAAGCAGAGATACAATACAATTTGGAATATTTCATACAGATATTCAATCATTCCATCATTTACTGAATAATAACTTTCTATCTCCAAAGAACTTCAATAACATCTTCATCATAAATCCAATAACTATTCATCTATGAAACTTTTTTAAGGCTATTTTATTCCTTGGTCATTTTATCTACCCCTGTACCACTATCATATTGGTGTAGTCTTGAGGTTCCCTATGGAAAGCACTTCCCATCTTATTCTTCTTCCTCTTGGGGAGCTTAGCTGTTCTTGATCCTTGACCCTTCCATATAAAATTAAAATTTTACTTTTCAATCTCCATGAAAACTTTAGTTGAATTTTTATTGAAGTCACATGAAATATGTAAATTTATTTGTGGAAAACTTTTTTTACAGCATCGAATATTCCAATCCATGAATATCGGTGTATTTATTTGAGTTTATTATTTATTTATTTGAATACAGGCGTATTTAACTTGAGTTTTATAATTTTCTTTATACAGTTCTATACAGCTCATTCATATCTTTATCTATTATATTTATCTATTATCTTTTAATCTATTATCTTTTAATTTTTGATGTTATTATAAGTAGTAATTTAAAGTTGTGTGCTCTATATATTATATGCTGAAATTATATTGAATTTTAAGTATTTAAGTTATATTTGCCTATTTTGATAAGTGATCTTCCCAGTTTTAAAAAATCTCCTTGTAGATTCTTTGAATTTTCTATATGAAAAAATAATCTAATATACAGATAATGACAGTTTTGAGTTTTATTTCCTAATCCTTATACATTTTGTTTTTCTTATCCCCCTGCCATGTGCTAGGTTCTCTATTAAAATGCTTTAGGGAAGCAGTGATAATAAGCATTGTTGACTTTTCTCTTGTTAAAAGGTAATTCATGTATATTCCAGTTTCAATAATATTTGCTCTAGGCTTATGATAGGAACCTTAAACAATTAAAGAATATCTATTTTATTACTGTTTGTTGAGAGTTTTTCCATGAATGATTTAAAAATTATATCACATACCTTTATTCTCAGTCTATGAAAATGATCATATCATTATTCTCTTTAATGACATTTTAGATTTTTTGATGATAGACAAGCCTTGAAATACTGGAATACAAACAAGTTGGTCATGATCTATCTTACATACACGTTGTTTGATTCTTTTTTTTTTTTTTTTTTTTGAGATGGAGTCTTGCTCTGTTGCCCAGGCTGGAGTGCAGTGGCGCAATTTCGGCTCACTGCAACCTCTGCCGCCCAGGTTCAAGAGATTCTCCGGCCTCAGCCTCCCAAGTAGCTGGCATTACAGGCATGTGCCACCATGCCCGGCTAATTATTTTTAATATTTTTAGTAGAGATGGGGTTTCACCATGTTAGCCAAAATGGTCTCGATCTTGTGACCTCGTGATCCGCCCGCCTCGGCCTCCCAAAGTGCTGGTAGATTCTTTAAGGATAATTATATGTATGTTCTCATAACACAGTTTAGCCAATAATTCAGCTTTTCTATACTGTCATTTCCTGACTTCATAATAGAAATTTCTGAGATCATAAAACAAATTAGGCCGCATTATTATTATTCTATAGTTTGATATATCTGTTTCCTGAAAGTTCAGTAAAACTTGACTGTAAAATCATCAGAGGATGTTTTCTCGTGAAGTTTCAAGTATTAACCCAAAGGCTTTCTACTTATTCCCAGTATATTTTTAGTAAATTATATACTTCTACAACTTTCATATTTAAGTTTTCACATGTATTAGAATAGACCTCTTTATAGTATTTTGATTATCTCATTTTTTTCTTTGGATTTATGGTTATGCTTCCTTATTTCTAATATTATTTAACTGTCCCTTCTCTGTTTTGTTCCTTGTCAACTTCACTGTATTAGTATCCATTGTATTCCTCTTTCAAAGAAGAAACTTGGTTCCACTGAGTTTCTGTTTTGTATATATTTTTATATTCCTTTAATTTCTACTGTGTATAATTTTATCTCACCTTCTACACCCCATAAGTTAGTCTAAGAGGCTATTATTTGTAATCTTACTTATAAAGCTGAATGTTTAAAATTTCCAATCATTTTTTTCTTTCCTAATATCAGTATTTAAGGTTATATATTTCCATGTATGGATAATTTTGCTGTACTTTATTAAGGTTTTTTCTTCAATCACTGAAATTTTGATGTTTATTTAATAAAACAGATAAAGTAAACAATGATGCCGGCCTAATTCTTTTTCTAAAGGAAGTAGTAGAAGTCCCAGTAGCTGTTTTACGTTTAGTTTTCAGCTCTAATGTCCACATGGTGTTTATAGTACTTGATTGTATTATACACTCCTGATCCTCAGTGAATGTTTTCAAGATTTGGAATCTAGTATTTTAATTATTATTTATTTGTGAAATTCAGTATAATTTCTTCTTTCACTCTGTAGAATTTTTTTAACATTTTCTAACTCATGGTGGATCTTGTTATCTTTTCTTTATTGACTTTTAGTTTATTATATTTATTTTTGGAGAACATAGTCTATATTATGTCAACCCTTTAAAAATTTTTGAGACTTGAATTATAACTATAGAATCATACATTGTCAATTTCTATAAATGTCTCATGATTGATTTAAAAATGTGTATTCTCTAATTGTAACGTGCAATTTATACATGTTAAATGAATGAAGCTTGTTACAAATATTGTTCAAATATCTTGTCTCTGGACTCATCAACACTTCTGAAACATGTTTTAATATCCTAGAGTTATGAAGGACTAGTCATATTTTCCCAATTTTAATTTGGAGGTGACACATTTTAAGACTATTTTAATTATACATAGAATTTTAGAATTCAGTTGGCTTTCAGGTGAATTTAATCTTTTATAATTATTTGATGACTTTTATATCTTAAAAACACACTTTACCTATAGAGGTTATTGCATTTGAAATTAATACTGCTACCCAGCTTTATTTTGGTTATGCTGTTATATCTCTTCCTATCATTTCACTTTGGTGCTTTTCAGCTGAGGGTGATTTTGCTCCCCAGGAGACAAGTAGCCATGTGTAGAGATACATATTTTCTGTCATATCATGGGGAGGAACACTATTGGATAGAGGCTATGGATGCTGCTAAACATTCTACAATAAACAACATAGCCTCCCACTATATATATTTATAGACTTTTCAGGTGTAATTAAGGTCTCTGATTAATTGACTTTGAATAAAGCAAGAGGGAAATTATCATGGATGGGTCTGACATAATCAGTTGAGATCACAAAAGAGGGTTTGAAAGTCAGAAGCAGAGAAGTCTGAGAGATGGTATACTTTTGGCCTTGAATTAGTTGTACACCATGTTGTGAGGATGTGACCACATGGCTAGGACTTGAGGGTGGACTGAGAGTGTCCCTAGGCAAAAAAATGATGCTTTAGTTCTATAAGGACCATGAAATCAATTCTGTCAACAACTTGAGAGCTTGGAGGAAGACTGAGCCTCAAGTGAAAGTGCCACTGCAGCCAACACCTTGACTTCTGCTTATTGAGACACTCAGCAGAGGATGCAGCTAAGACAGCTGGACTACTAAGTCAGAGAAACTGCAAGATAATAAACAAATTCATGTCGTTTGAGATATCAAATGCATGTTTTAAGGCACCACGTTTGTGATAATTTTTCACATAGCACTAGAAAACTAATATATTGAATTTTTAGGCTTGCTTATTACTTCATGAAGAGAGACACAGCAAAAGAAAATTTACAAGAAAATTCAATGACTAACTGTGAGATAATTAAGAAAGATTTTTTGGTTTTTTTGTTAAATTTTAATGTATGGTTAAATATTTTAATAGTTCTTTCCAACTATAGAAACAAGCCATTCTTATATAATTCTTATATAACACAGAAACAAACAAAAAAGCACATAAAGAAAATGTGGTAAATTCACATTGAGTATTTACCTGAAATAGTTTTGAGGTAAAATGTTGATATCCATTACAGTTGTTATATCCAAAGGAACAGGAGTGAAAAATATAAATGGAGGGTCAAACAATAACTCTGGTGATTTTACTTCCCCAGTAAGATGTAATATTTTATAGCAAACTGGAATATAATTTAAAAGCATAGGAATATCTGCTGTGTATGTCCCAGGACGATCTAATGAAAAACAAATTTTAAGGGTATTTTAAATTAGTTAAAACACACAAAAAATTTACATAGCTGAACTATTACTAAATTTCAAAATGTACGATGATGTTACAACTTAATGGGACAGAATAAACTACCCAGAAACAAGATTTAGCTTGCTGAAGAACTTAAGACATGTAATGAGGTGCTGTTGAAAGAAAACTATTTTAAAGTACAGCTTGACTAGAAATGGAGCAAGTCTCTTTAATGTAGATTTTCATAATTTGGAGAAAATAAATATGCCCTGGGAAAGCAGTGCAATTGAACATTTAAAAAAGTATTTTCTGTGTTTTAATAGAAGCTTCCCAGGCCTTTAAAATATGCAGTATGAAGATGAGGATAGATCATTGCCATAAGGATCCCAGGGGACTACTGAGAAAAGGAGGTCCTGAGATGAAAGGAATGTGCTGTATCCCAAATTTTTAAGTTTAAGAAATACTACCAGGGTTGACTGGCCAATTTTACCTGGTAGGAAAGGACAGGAAATTCCCATGCCATAGCTTAATAAGAGAAAAGATAGTTTGTGTTAGAGAGCAGGGCTCAACACGGGAAGCTGAAAGCTAGTTTCTGGGGACAGTTTCCATCACAGAGAGTGATCAATACCCTTTCACATCGAAATCTCCAAGAATAGTGTGTGATAGAGAGAAAAGAGTGACCCAGTGATTGTGATTTCAAGCTGATATCTTAGAACCCTCAAATGGGACACCAGTGCCCCTTAGCAAAGATTGGGGCCATCAAGGGTATCTTCAGAGCAGAAAATGACAGTGCACTGGGTGATGCAAGACCATGTTCAAAAGTGGCACTTAGTGCTAGAAGCAAAAGCAATGAACTCATTGAAATCATCAGCCATACTAGTGCTCTCTGTACTGAAGGCCATTACTTAATCAAATAAGCCCTTTACCTGATCAAGTAAGTAGTCTAGTGTTCTTGGAAAAAGGGAGGCAGCTGGAGAAGAAAGGAGAGGAGGAATAGAAAAATAATGGGCTCCCTACTAATAATGACAAATGAGTACTGGAAAGACTATGTGAAAAATTTAAATAAATTATGTATACTTTGAGCTGATAAAATAAGCTATAAGAGAATGTATGTATTTAAAACATTACAAATCTATAGGGAAATAATGGTTTCATTTCATAAATTTGATATGGTTAAATTTGTTTTGGGGAGAAAAAATAATTTCAGAGTTAGGGAAGGTTTTAAGATTTATTGAATTCTGGATTTTGAAAGGCCTACTTTGAGATTATTTCAGAATTTCAGACCTCTTAAAGGGTTCTAGGGTGATAGAGAAGGGGATTCTTTGTATAACTTCAGACTATTGGAGATTCAATCATACCCTTTTTAAGCTGAGAGTGTTTTCTCTCTCATCTGAGATGTAATTTATAAAGGCATTTTAAGCATGTTTGATTCTTAAGAGTTAGGTTGTATTAGCCAGGCATGGTGGAGTGCGCCTCTAGTCCCAGCTACTCGGGAGCCTGAGGCAGAATAATCGTTTGAACCTGGGAAGTAAATGTTGCAGTGAGCTGAGATCGCACCACTGCACTCCAGCCTGGGCGACAGGGCGAGACTCCATCTCCAACAACAACAACAACAACAACAACAACAACAACAACAACAAAGAGTAAAGTTGGGAGCCTAATAAAAGAAACGACAGATATGACTGCTAGGGCCCAGCGCATATTGAAAGAAAAGTCAAATGGAAATGTTTTTTATTTCCTTCTAGATGGACCAGTCCAGTCCATTTTATCTGAGTATAAATGTCGACAGGCACATAAAGGAGAAGTTCTGAACAGAAAAATGGATGGTAGGTTCAGCTGGAATAGCCTTTGTGCTATTTCTTTCAAACCAGAATATGGAAGAAATGGAGATGAAACTAGAGAAATACATAATAAAACAATTATTTTTACTAAACAAATTTCAGAATGCAAAGAATAGTTGGTATTTTCTATCATATTTTCAGAGATTTAAAGAGAGGTAATAAAAAGATTAAACATTTTTAAGCCTACTAATCATAATATGCTATGAGATGTTTCTCACACACAAAGCTAAAATGATTATACAATGCCATGCTAATAGATATAGTAGAACATCAACTTAATGCAACACAGTGCTAATAGAATATTATTGAGAGAGAGAGAGCACACTTCAATGAACTCTCTAATAAGCTTTAAAGCTATAATAGATTCTTACCCTGCCTGAACTTCTACTGATAACTGAGCCAGTTGTGGGTATTTTATCTAGATTACCACATGTGTAAAACTTAGTGTCCTCGGAATTTGGGTATTTTATAAGTCTAATAAAATGAAAAACAGATTACATTGCACTATAGTGGCTGAATGTGATAAGCAGAATTCTGAGAACGTTCCTCAAAAAATTAAAAATAGAACTACCATATGATCCAGTAATCTCAAAGGAAATGAAATCAGTATCTCAGATATCTGCACTCCTATGTTTATTGCAGCAATATTCACAATAGCCAGATTATAAAAGTGTCCATTGATGGATGAGTGGATAAAGAAATTGTGATGTATGTACACAATAGACTATTATTCGTTCATACAAAAGAAGAAAATCCTGCCCTTTCCAAAAAAAAAAAATGATTGAACCTAGAGGACATTATTGTAAGTAAAATAAGTCAGACACTGAAAGACAATTACTGTATAATCTCACTCATATGAAATCTAAAAAGTCAAACTCATGGAAGCAGAGTGTAGGGCATTGTCTTCTAGGGGCTTGGGAGTGGGGGAAATGGGGAGACGTTGATCAAAGGGTACAAACTTTCAGTTATAAGATGAACAAGTTTCTGGGGATCTAATGTACAACATGGGTGATGATGGATATGTTAAGTAATTTCATTGTGGCAATCATTACACAATGTATACATACATCAAATCCTCACATTGTACACCTTGAATATATACCAACTTTGTCAATTAAATAATGTAACATTCAAAAATGAGATTAATAAAATTGTATTATTTATAATTATTCAAATTAAAAGAAATAACAAATAATCTAAATTTCTGTATACATAATAAAACAATTTCATATATGAAGGGTAAATTGAAAGTATAACTACAAATATAGGAGAAAATATCTTACTTGGACAGAAACTTATGGAAACATTATACTTTTCATTTGGTCGTAGAATCCCATTCAGTACACTGAACTTGAATGTGCCGTCTTTGAAAAGTTTGCCAGTATTACTAAGATCCAAAGTCCATGTCACATGGTGTTTGGTAATATTATATAAAACAAGATTCTGCTCACACACACAAAAAGACAAAAAAAGTTTAAAATTATAGCATGCAATCTAAAGTTTAGTTGTATTACCATCTCAATTTGATGAGCCTATGTATAAATTCAAATGATTAATCATAGATAAAATGCTTTAAAATGATATTAGACAAACAAAGGGGTTTTTAGTCTGATGAAACTGTTCTCTATGGCATTGAAGTGGTAGACACATTATTCCATGCATTTTTCAAAACCCAAAGATCTTATGTAAACTTAAATGTATGTAAATCAAAAACAAGCAACCCAGCTGTAATACAGTGCATCACAGTCTGTAATCCATCTTGGAATGTTGATACACTGTCTTACAAATGTGTGAAATAACCTCATTGAATGTAGTTAGGGTAGGGAGAAATTGACGTCAGTAACTTTGAAAAACTGTGTTTTTGACTGAAAGCTACAAGGCTAAAGAGTAAGAATTGTGTATGAATAATGTACTCTAGGTGATAAACGTGTCAGCAATTTTAATAGGCCACAGGTTAGAAATTCTGAAACTTCTTTATTTGAAGTTAGGATTAAAAAATAAGTAAATGAAGTGTAAAAAATGAGAGGCAGATTTCTCACTGTCAGAGAAATTAGTCAAAAATGAGTAAGAGAGAAAGATGGGAATGGACATTGTGGTGCTAGATTAGAGATATCAGTCTGAGCTGGTGTTAGATGGATGTATGGATATATATATATAGAGAGAGAGGGACACATATATAAATAATTATAGGTATATGTGTCTATGTGGATTAGTATATATACACATATTTCCTGACTCTATTGTTGAAAGGGCCTAGAACCTGTGACAATGCAGTAGCAACTCTTATACACAGTACTTAGACCTTGGTTTCTAAATATCATTCTACAATAAAAAGTACTAGGGGATCTTGGAGAAATGTTGATTTTAGAGCTGGAGCAAGTAAAATAAAAGATGAGCCTGGAACATTTGGTAGTACCACTAAGAAAATACTTCAAAATCACAATGATGGGAGCCTGTCAAAGGACCAACGTAGAAGAGCTTATAATGGCCAAAGCAGAAACAATTTTAGCAACAAAATAAAAAATGTAATATTAAATTATAACTGAAAGTATAAAAATAAATATATGTGTGTTCATGCTAACATATTATGTAATAAAATAAATAAATAGGGAGAGGAAATAATCTTTTTTAAAGAAAATTTCCAAGTAATACATGTAATATATAAGTAGAGCTTAACCTCCTACCACTTGATTGTAGGCTAAAATTGATCACACACTTCCAAAGGATAGAGTATGGGAAGTGAAAAATAGTAACTTCACAGTGGAGAAACCTAGCAGACATCACCAGTAATTAGTTATTTTCATATCATGTATTCCTTTATATGATGTGATAAAAAAATTATTTCACCTCGGTAACATTCTTCTCCAAAACCCATGGAAAATAAAAACTCAGTCTAATCAGGTGAAAAACACCAATCTCAAATTAAAAGACATTTTCAAAAAATGCTGGACAAATACTATTTAAAATCGTGAAGATAATAAAAAATAAGCAAGATTGCGAGCCTGTCACAGGTTGGATGAGACTAAATGCAATGTGCTATCCTGGTTGGACCCTGGGACAGTAAATGGACATTAGTGAAAAACCATTGATTTCTGAATAGAGTCTGTTGTTTAGTCAATAATGTTGTACTAATGTTAATTTCTCATTTTAAAAAAATGCCCTATGGTAGTGTAAGGTAATGTTAGGTAAAGTTGGGTGAAAGCTATCAGAAATTCTCTGCACTAGCTTTGAAACATTTTAGTAAATCTGAACATTATGGGCCTGACTTGCATGCAGACTCATCTTTCCAATGTAACCTGCTATTAAAATAAAACTATCAACCAGGTTTTTTCATTAACTTTACTCTTCAAATATTTGAAGACTATAGAATGAGCCATACAATTATCAGCACAACAAAATACATACCTCATTTCTTTCTAAAGCATGATTGATTTAAAACATATAGGATAAACAACGAGCCAATTTTTTTCCCAAGCCTTGAAGTACTCAAGCATCTATTTAGCTCTAATATTGGTATATCCTAACTATAAAAGGTTAATTTACACATTCTAAAGAAAACAACATGTTTCAATACAGGAAATGAGCACAAAATCATACCAGCCATTTGAAGCTTAATTTTTGTCATTTTAAAATGAGGAAAAGTTATTATACTTCCAAAATACTATCTATCTTCTATATCTTATAATTCTGAGAAATGAAATGATACAGTTATCTATAAAGAAATATTGGTTAATTTGTTCAGTATGTTTAGTGTTATTTTTTCTTTATATTTTTGTCAAAATGATATATGTATGCAGCTTACACAGAAAGTTCAAAATGCTTGTTTAAAAGCAGTTGTCCCACCAAATTCCTCTTCATCAAAAGTTCTG
Organism: Homo sapiens; assembly: GCF_000001405.40. NCBI lineage: Eukaryota > Metazoa > Chordata > Mammalia > Primates > Hominidae > Homo > Homo sapiens. Next base: position 36,033,268 of record NC_000023.11, on the reverse strand, counting down.
CTTCCCAGAAGCAACCAATTTTAGCCAATTGTGATTTGAGTTTTTATCTAAATGTGACGCCAATATGGCTTATGTTAGTTTTCTGTTGCTGCCATAACAGATTACCACAAACATAGGGACTTAAGAAAACACAAATATATTGTTATATATCACAGTTCTGTAGATTAGAAGTCCAACGCAAATATCATTTGGCTAAGATCAACGTGTTAGCAGGAACTGTGTTCCTTTCTGAAAGCTCTAGGGAAGAGCCCATTTCATTGCCTTTTCTAGTTTCTAGAGGCCAGCTGCATTCCTCAGTTGGTGGCCTTCTTCCTCTAAGTTGAACACTGCATCACTCTGACCCTTCTGTCATCACATCTCCCTCTGAGCACAGTTAGAAAAGGTTCTCTGCTTTTAACCACTCATGTTATTAGATTGGGGCCACCTAGATAATTCAGGAAAATCCTCCCTTCTCCGAGTCCTTTACCATAATTACGTCAGCAAAGTATCTTTTGTGATATAAGGTCATGTATTCACAAATTTTGGAGATTAATACTTAAGCATCTTTGGGGCCATTATCTGCCTGCAGCATGAGTATTTTATGGTTTATCAGCTTCAGATATTGTCTTTTGACTGCCCACTAGGAAAAATGAAGACTCAGCTCCACTTCCTATTTTTTTCCTATTTTGGATATTCATATTTTTTAAAATTTTAAAATTCTTCCATTAGTCAACTTGGTAATTTTAAGCAAAATATATATATCTCTTGTTTTTCTTTTTCTCTGTACTTTAGACAATATCCTTTAATTACCCACTATGTAAAATGAATTTTATTTCTTTATTCCAAAATCCTTAAACCTTTAGTCAAATTAACCTTCCATAAACATATTACGTCTTCTCTGTACCATATATCTTATATATTATGACTGCAAATATCATTCATGGGAAGTTTAAGTAGAAGATTAGAGTCACGTTTTTTTTTTCTCCATGGGGCCAATGTCCCTCTTTCTCCTCAAAAGAGAGAATGCTATTGGTGTCTAGATCTTCTTTGCTTACATCGATTGAATAAAATTTCAATGATATAAAATAATCTCACATTTATGAAGGTATTGTTTTTATCTGAAATCCATTAAATTCAGTTAATTAAAGTTGCCTTTCTAGCCCCACACATAAGGTCTTTGTATCCTTGAAGTTCTATTCAAAGTAGTTTTCTTGACTTTTGATACTCTAAACAGTCACATTTTAATTTCAGTAGATCCTTTATTGATCTCTAACTATAATTTTATATAGCACTCTGCTATTTTTTTATTAATGCAAGGCTAAATATTCTCTCCATATAATTTTTCTTCAATGCTATAAAGGTTCAAAATTGGTTACAGGTATAGCAATATATAAGACAAAAAGGGGCAGTGCAAATACAAATTTCTATAATGTGTGCTGAGCTTCTTTTTTATGCATGTCTGTTTTCCTTCCTAATTAGAAGAGAGGCAGAGATATCCTTTAAGAAAAAATAGTAACTCAATAGAGAAGCTACTTTATTATTATTATTATTATTCAGATTTATTATTGCCTCCTAGCATATTTTCTTTTATCTATGGAATATATTTCATATTAATTTAAATCATAGCTTCCATTTGTATAAGGAGAATGGAATAATTTAATTATATTAAACTTATTTTAATATTCTTATTAATTATATGCGTATATGTATTTATAAATAGCTGTATATGTATTTGTATATTTTGAAAATTACTCCTGAGAAATTTTATCTGTAAGTTTTCTAAAAAATGCCGGTATTCTTGCTCCGAAGAGCATAAACAATTGGGGAGAAATTAATCATAGGGAATAGTTCATATCACTCATGCTTATGAATAATCAACTTAACAAACTAGAATTCATAATCATGAAAAGAATTGTAAACTGTATCACTTCTTTATACATACCTGAGTTTTTGTGACCTTGTTATTAGGATTCATCTCATGTAAAGGGATTTCAAATACAAACTTAGTACTAGATAAGTTCAATGGTGATTGCAATGCTGTGAGAGGAACATAAATATACTGATAAAATGTCAACAGATATAAGCCCATAGGTACTTTTTAGTATACTTTAAAACACTAAACAATAAGAAAATAAGATTTGTTTCTATATATTTTTATATTCCCAACCAGAAAATAAAATAACATTTAAAAACATTTCTAAAATATCTTGGTTTATTGAATTAACAAAGTTCCCTTTTGTGGAATTTTTTTAATGGTAATGAATTATAAGTAAAATAGGAAAATTATCCTTGAGATAATAAAAAAGATGAAATTGAGCTAAGAAAAAAGTAAACAGAGCTAAAATGATCTCCACACTAGAGTTTGAACAACACAGAAGTGAGCAGAAATGCAGAAGGAAAATTTATTGGAATACAGAGAAAATATTTAGCTGGCATAGTATGTAACATTTCCTAGATAAAACAAGAAAACTCTGGGAGTAAATGGCTATTCTATGGAAGATTAAGAAAAGGGGTATCTGTAAAAATACTCACTGCATTAGAGAAGATATTATAATCTACTGGAAAAAACCTATACTTCTTGAAACTTACCTCTAAGACATTTGTAATTCTTAATGAAAACTAAAGGGTATCACCAGCTTTTGAAAAAAAAAGTAAATAAAATAAAACAATTTCTGATCCTAAAAATGTATGTATCTTACACGTGTTTTTATTATGCCACTGGAATTAATGGATGATTTGACAGGGGGCCAGGACATGTGGGATAGGAGAAAGTTATGGATAGTGTTCATCCTTGTGTTACTCCCAAAACCTGTCATGTGAAATCCTAAAAGAGACAATGTTACCACAGATATATAAAAAAGTGGCACATGTAATATTGTATTTCCATTTACAAATTGGCATCTAGGAATAACCAGTGAAAATAATATGTTGACTATAACTTTAAAAACAAAGCATTGTTCTGGCATATTACTTCACCATTTAGAGAGCCTTATTTCATTAAAACAAATAAGTTATACTCTGCCTATCACAAATTTTTATAGAATCATTTTCTGAAGAAACCAAACCACCTAAGATTAAAGATCACAGACTAATTTCCCAGACATACTTCCTAAAATTAAAACATTCATTAGTATCCTGATTGCCAGACAGTGATATAATATTTAATGATAAAGCCAGCCTTTTGAGAGGTATTAATAAACATGAGCAAACAGGCAAGGGTCAATAGATATTAAAGAACTATTCAACATGAAAGAGAGACATAAAGGAAGAAATAATTCAGTAAAAGTAGTGAAAATGTAGTCAACAGAAAAAAGTCAATGAAATCATATTATAATTAGAAATAAAAGGTATTATTTTCCAAAAATAACAGGCTATAAATAAATAATTAGTAAATACTAAGAACTCTTGCTAATTTAAAACTGCCAAAATAAGATTTTAAGATTTAGAAAAGTCAAGTAAGAAAAATATTGGGAAATTCAATAAAAAGATGAGGAAAATGGCAATAAGAGAGACTGCCTAAGATAATAAATAAATATATATACGCATATATATACACATATATGACATAATCCATAAAGTATAAAATCCAACCAATAGTAATCTGAGAATATAGAAAACGATGATTGAAAATTTTCAGGAAATAATTTATGAATGCTTTGTAGAACTAAAGGACATGAGTTCCCCATTTGAAAGAACACAAAAATGGAACACAATAGTGAAGATCAAAACCTGTGGGTTATAGCAAAAGCATTGCTAAGAGGGAAGTTTGCAGCATTAAGTGCCTAAATCAAAAAAGAAGAAAGATCACAAATAACCTAATTTTACACCTTAAGGAACTAGGAAAACAAGAACAAACCAAAGCCAAAATTAGCAGAAGAAAAGAAATAAAGATCAGAGCAGAGCTAAATGAAATAGAAACTAAAAAACAACAAAAAGGATTAACAAAAAGAAAAGCTGGTTCTCAGAAAGTGTTTAAAAAACGGATAAGCTATTATACCAGCCAGACTAACAAAGAAGGGAGAAGATTCAAATAGACACAATCAGATATGAAAACAGATACATTACAACTAATATGACAGACATGCAAAAGATCATCAGAGACTATTATGAGCAACTGTACACTCACAAACTAGAAAATCTAGAGGAAATGGACAAATTCCTGGAAACATACAATCTCTAAGATTGAACCAGGAAAAAATAAAACTCCTGAACAGACCAATAATGAGTAAAGACATTGAATCAGTAATTTAAAAAAGAAATCTACCACCCAAAAGAGCCCAGGACCAGTGTATTCATAGCTGAATTCTACCAAACATACAAAGAATTATACCAATCATCCTAAAACTATTTCCTGTAAGAACTGGAACAAGACAAGGATGCCAGCTTTCACACTCCTATTCCACATAGTACTGGAGTCCTTACCAAAGCAATGAAGCAAGAGAAATAAATAAATAAATAAAAGGCACCCAAACTGAAAAAGAGGAAGTCAAACTATCCCTGCTCATTGATAAAATCTGACATCCTTTAAAGACTCTACTAAAAACCTCTGAGATTTGATAAATGAATTCTGTAAAGATTCAGCATACAAAATTAATATACAAAAATCAGTAGTGTTTCTATATACAAACAATAATCTAGCTGAGGATCAAATAATGACAGCAATCTCATTTACGATAGCTTAAAAATAAATAAAATACTAACCAAGGAAGTAAAAGATATCTATAAGGAGAGCTACAAAACACTGATGAAAGAAAACACAGATGACACAACAAATGGGAAAACATTTAATGCTTACAGATTAGAAGAATCAATTATCATCAAATGGCCATACTGCCCAAAGCAATCTAGAGATTCAACACAATTTCTATCAAAGTACCAATGTCATTTTTCGCAGAATTAGAAAAAACAATCCTAAAATTCATATCAGAATAATGAAACTGGACCCATACCTCTCACCATATACAAAAATTAATTAAAAATGGATTAAAGACCTAAATATAAAACCATAATCTATAATGATCCTACAAGAAAACATAGAAGAAGCTCTTCCAGACATGGACCCAGGCAAAGAATTCATAACCAAGTCCTCAAAACCAAAAACAACAAAAATAAAAATGGACAAATGGGACTTATTGTAACTACAAAGCCTCTGAACAGCAAAATAAACAAGAGAAAGAATAAACAGACAACATACAAAATGGGAGAAAATATTAACTATGCATCTGACAAAGGACTAATATCCAGAATCTGTAAAGAACTTAACAAATCAAGAAGAACAAAACAAATAACCCCATTAAAAAGTGGGCAAAGGACATGAACAGAAACTTCTCAAAAAAAGACAAACATGCAGCCAACAAACATGAAAAACATTTCAACATCACTAATTATCAGCGAGGTGCAAATTAAAACCACAATGAGATACTATCTTACACTAGTCAGAAAGGCTACTATTAAAAACTAAAAAAACAACAGATGTTAGTGAGGCTATGGAAAAAAAGTGAACACTTATATACTGTTGATGGGAATATAAGTTAGTACAACATTTATGGAAATAGTGTGGAGATTTCCCAAAGAACTAAAAATTGCACTACCATTTGATCTAGCCATCCCACTACTGGGCATAAACCCAAAAAGAAAGAAATCATGACATCAGAAAGACACCTGCACATGTTGGATAAAGAAAATGTGATACACACATATGCACACATGCATGCACACACACACACACATACACGCACACCATGGAATAGTACTCAGCCATAAAAAAGAATGAAATCATGTATTTTGCAGCAACATGGATGAAAGTGGAAGCCATTATCCTCAATGCAATCACTCAGAAACAGAGTCAAATACTGCATGTTCTTACTTTTAAGTGGGAGGTAAACGATGGAGACACATGGACATACCCCATGGAGTAATAGACATTGGAGATTACAAAAGGTGGGATGGTGTGAGATGGCGAGGGTTGAAAACTTACCTACTGGCTACAGTGCTCACTATTTGGATGATGGGTACCCTTAAAGCCTAGACTTCACCACCATGCAACATATGCATGTAAGACATCTGCATTTGTATCCCCTAAATATATATTTATGTGTATATATATAATCATATATATATAATCACATATATATAATCATATATATAATCATATATATATAATCATATATATATAATCACATATATATAATCATATATATATATGATGACAGATTCACATGAAAGTCACCAGTATAAAATAATGGAACACCAGGAGAAAAGAGACGTTTCTAAAAGCTTCAAAGAGGAAACACTGAGTAGCATATAATGGATATAGAAGAAAAATAACAGATTTCTAAATACAAGAGAAGATAGAAGACAATAACCATAGTTTCAAAATTTTGAAGAAAAATTATTTGAATACAAAATTATATATTCAATCGAATTATATCATTCAAATGTGGGAGGAAAAATGATACTTTCAGACATGAAAATTCTCAAAAAATTAACTCCCTTGGAGTTAATGATGGACTTGATCAGAGTTTTTTGTTAACATTGAAATGGTGTTCACAGTGGACTTATAAGAAGAAGGCCTTTGACATATCTGCCTAGAGAGCTTATCAAAAATACATAGAATTTATGAATTTATGGAGCATGGATGACAAGGAGTAGAAATTTATCATATAGGCATTTTGTATCTATGTAACTATTAAGAGTACAAAAATAAGGAGCATCAAACAAAAATGGCATTCTTTGGGAACAAGGTTTATAGAAATGTCATTCAAACTGATCTAATAAACAGCATGAGGACTAATGTTAATTATATTATATTGTGTACTGGAAATTTCCTAAGAGAGCAGATTTTAAGTAATTTTGCCACCAAAAAATGTAACTGTGTGGGATGATGGATATGACGGATATGTTAATTTGCTTGACTATAGAAATCATTTCACTATGTATATGTATATCAAAACATCATGTTGTACATCTTAAATATACACAATAAAAATTTAAAAACGCACCTGTTAATTCAAAACTAAAAGGAATCCTAGGGCGGGAGAAAAGAACAATTTGGAAGATGTGTCTGACAGATCTCATCTTCTTGAAGAAGAAATGCTACATCTTTGCCTAATTTTTCTTGTATCATTTGAATCATTAGTGAACTTTGGTTTTGGTTAAGTTATATAATACAAGTAAGTCTGATTTTACATCTCAAATTTTTGTGGAAGGACAAAAATATCTGTAAATGCGTTACATATGTACTTTTTGGAAGTACAAAATGTCTAATAAAGTATTACATATTTATCAACCCTCTAGCTGACAAAGACATTCTAAATTTTCAAGCAATGTTAGACGTCATGAACAAGAGAGATTTTCCATAAATTTAACAAAGAGATCTATCGGAAAATGAATAATACTAAAGGCAAATAACAAATCTTGGAAGACATTCACATTAAATATAAAAATAATATAAACAGCTCACCCAAATGTACCAGACAAATACAAAAACTTAAAAAGCAAAGGTACTTTACTTAAAGGTGAAGTATATGAACAGACAAGTTACATAAAAATATACAATTAAAAGCAAAGGTAGGAAATTCTCATCCTCATGAGCAATCAAACTGAACATTGAAATAATATATTTTTAATCACAGAGAAAGATATACAAATTCTTTTTTTTTATAGACACCATCTTACTTTATCACCCAGGCTGGAGTGCAGTAGCAGGATCATAGCTCACCACTAGGTTCAAGAGATACTCGCGCCCCAGCCTCCTGAGTAGCTGGGTCTACAGATATGCGTCACCACATTCAACTACTTTTTTTTTTTTCATTTTTATTTAGAGACAGGGTCTCACTGTGCTACCCAGGTTGGTCTCGAATTTCTAGCTTCAAGGGACCCTCTAGCCTTAGCCTCCCAAAGTGCTAGGATTATAGGTGTGAGCAGAAATTACCAGTCAAGATAGCCAATTTCTTTAAGTCAACATTAATAAGATTTTACACCAAGGAGGGAGTAAAACGGTACAACCCTTTAGAAATGTTCTGTGACAACATTCATCTAGAACCTTTAACATGTATGCACTTTAGAAATAATAAAATCCATTTTGAGAATCTCTCCAAAAAATTCTAAATAAGAAAAAAAGTATTATACAAAAAATTTTCACTACCACAATATTTATATTAACAAGAAGGTAAAAGGAAGAAACAACCTAAATGCTTATGATGACGTTTAGGTCACCTAGAAGAGATACTTACGGGATGAATTTTTTTTGCACTAGCTCTCAGGGTTAATTTAAATAATTAATAAGGAACTACAATATCCAAGTAAAACATTCTATTAAGATTAAACAGAGAGAGAATGAGTGCAGCAAAATGTTGAAACAGAAGGTCCTCCCTGCAAAGGTCACCATTTAACAAGTATCTACACAAAAAAAGCAACTTCATAAGAACCAAAAATCAAGTGACCACTAACAGCACCTGGTTTCAACTTCATAACACTGAAAGAGGCTGAAGAAGTAGGTAAAACAGTCATGAATCACTGACATCACCTGTTCCAAATACCCGGCAGTGGCAGTACGGTACTGCCCTATTAGAGCAGAAAGTCAAACTGGATCAAACACAACTGACATCTACCCATGGAGGGAGTGTTTAAACCAGCCCTAGCCAGAAGTGAATCACTGATCCCAGTAGTCGAAAACTGAGTTCCCACAAGCCTCGCCACCTCAAAATAAAGTGCTGTGGAACCCTAGATAAAATTGAAAGGCAGTCTAGCCCACATGGACAGCAATTCCTAGGTAAGTCCTAATGGCCGAGCTGGGCCCAGAGCCAGTGTTCTGGGGAGGCACGTGACCTAATAAGACACCAGCTGGGGGAGCTAAGTAAGTGCTGGCATCACACATCCTCTAACTCAAGGCTGCAGAGCACACAGCTGCAAAGAGATCCCTCTCTTTTACACTTGAGGAGAAGAGAGGCAAAAGCAGGAAGGACTTTGTCTTACATTTTGGATAAGAGCTCAGCTGCAGCAGGATAGGGCACCAGTCAGGGTCATAAGCTCCTTTTCCAGACCCTAGCTTTCACATGACATTTCTAGAAACACCGTGGGCCAGAAGTACACCCTCTGCCTTGAAGGGGAGAACTCAGTCCTGGCAGTATTCATCACCTGTTAAGAGCCTATGGGTCCTGAATAATCAGCAGTGACTCCCAAGTTCTACATCAAGGGCCTTGGGTGAAACTCTGAGACTTGATGGCTTCAGGTGAGACTCAGCACATTAAGAGCTGTGGTGGCTATAGGGTGAGAAAAGCAGAGGGAAAAGTAATGGGGACTTTGTCTTGCGCCTTAGGTACCAGGTCAGCAACAGTGGGGGAGAGCACCAAGCGGGCTCTTGGGATTCCCAATTCCAGAACTTGGCTCTTGGGTGACATTTCTAGACATGCCCTGGGCCGGGGGGAGCCCACTACTCTGAAGGCTGAGTCCCAGGACAGGCAGCATTCACCACAAGCTGACTGAAGAGCCCTTGTGCCTTAAGGAAACATCAGCAGTAGTCTGGCAGCACTCCCTGTGGGCCTGTGGTGGCAGTGGCCACATGATGAGGTTCCTCTGCCTTTGGAATGGGGAAGAAAGAGTGGGGAGAACTGCATCTTGTGGTCTGTGTGCTAGCTCAGCTGCAGTATAATAGAACATCAGAGAAACATGTAAGGTTTTTGACTCTAGTCCCTGGCTCCAGGACAACACCTCTGGACCCACCCGGGGCCTGGGGGAATTTGCTGTCCTGAAGGAAAAGACACAAGACTGGTTGGTTTTGCCACCATCTGATTGTACAGCCCTAGGGCCTTGAGTGAACATAGGTGGTAGCCAGGGAGTGGCTATAGGAGGCATTGGGTGAAACTGAGTGCTGTGCTTCAGGTCTGACACAGCATAGTCCTAGTGGTGGTGGCCACAGAAGTACTTGTATCACTCCACTCCCAACTCCATGTGTCTCAGAACAGAGAGAGAGACTCTGTTCATTTGGGAGAAAGTAATGAAAAGATCAAGTCTCTGCCTGATAATTCAGAGACTTCTTCTGGATCTTGTCCAAAATCATCAAGGTGGTCCCTCTCTGATTCTGCAAGAATCACAGTGTTATTGGGCTTGGGGTGCCCCCTAAAGCAGACACAGCTTAGATCACAAAACCCAAGTCCTTTCAAATATCTGGAAAACCTACCCAAGAAGGACACGTACAAACAATCTCAGAATGTGAACACTACAATAACTACATAACTCTTGAATGCCCAGACACAGACAAACATCTACAAGTATCAGGACCACCCAGGAAAACATGGCCTCATCAAATGAACTACATAAGACACAAGGGACCAATCCTGGAGAATCAGAAACATGTGACTGTACAGAAAGAGGATTCAAAATAGTTATTTTGAGGAAACTCAAAGACATTCAAGATAATAAAGAAAAGGAATTCACAATTCTATAGATAAGATTAACAAAGAGACGGAAATAATTTTTAAAAATCAACCAGAAATTCTGGAGCTGAAAAATGCAATTTGCATCAGAGTTCTAATGGGAGAACTGATCAAGCAGAATAAAGAACCAGTGAGCTCAAAGACAGTCTATTTAAAAATACACAGTCAGAGGAGATAAAATAAAAATAAAAATAAAAAAAATTAAGCATGCTTACAGGATCTGGAAAATAGCCTCAGAAGGACAAATCTAAGAGTTACTGCCCTTAAAGAGGCAACAGACAGAGACAGGGGTAGAAAGTTGCTTCAAAAGGATAATAACAAAGAACTTCCCAAATTTAGAGAAAGATATATAGATATCCAAGTTATAGAACACCAAGCAGATTTAAGCCAAAGAAGACTACCTCAAGGGATTTAATAATCAAAATTCCAAGATCAAGGATAAAGAAAGAATCCTAAAAGCAGACAAAAGAGAAGAAACAAATAAGATACATAGGAGCTCCAACATGTCTAGCAGCAGATCTTTCAGTGAAAACCTTACAGGCCAGGTTGGAGTGATATGAAATATTTAAAGTACTGAAGAAAAAAAACTTTTAGCCTAGAATAGTATGTCTGGCAAAATTATCCTTCAAACATGAAGGAGAAATGAAGACTTTCTCAGACAAACAAAAGCTAAGGGATTTGATCAACACCAGAATTGTCCTACAAGGAATGCGTGGAGTACTTCAATCAGAAAGCAAATGGTGTTAATTGGCAGTAAGAAGTCATCTGAAGGTACAAAACTCACCGGGAATAAGAAGGACACAGACAAGTGCTCACGTCAGAGGCACATATACTAAAATTGGAATGATACAGAGAAGATTAGCATGGCCCCTGCAAAAGGATGACATGCAAATTCATGAAGTGTTCCATATTTTTTGGAACCAACCCAAATGCCCATCAATGATATACTGGATAAAGAAAATGTGGCACATATACACCATGGAATACTATGCAGCCATAAAAAATAAGTTCATGTTCTTTGCAGTGACATGGATGAAGCTGGAAACCATCATCCTCAGCAAACTAACACAGGAACAGAAAGCCAAACACCGCATGTTCTCACTCATTAGTGAGAGTTGAACAGTGAGAACACACGGACACAGGGAGGGGAACATCACACATCGTGGCCTGTCGGGGGGTGGGGGGAAAGGGGAGGGATAGCATTAGAACAAATACCTAATGCATTTGGGGCTTAAAACCTAGATGATGGGTTGATGGGTGCAGCAAACCACCATGGCACATGTATACCTATGTAACAAACCTGCACATTCTGCACATGTATCCCAGAACTTAAAGTATAGTAAAATGAGTAAATAAACAATTAAAAAAATAAAAACACAAAAAATTAGCCAGGCATGGTGGTGCATGCCTGTAGTCCCAGCTACTCGGAAGGCTGAGGCAGGAGAATCACTTGAACCCAGGAGGTTGAGGGTTGCAGGGCCAAGATCATGCCACTGCACTCCAGCCTGGGCAACAAAGCAAGACACCATCTCAAAAAAGAGAAAAATTAAAAAAAGGACACACAAAAAACAAATATTATAGCACTGTAACTATGGTGTGTAAAATACTCTTACATAGACTAAATGATGATCCAATCAAAAATAATAATTACAACACCTTTTCAAGACATAGTACCATAAGATATAAATAGAGACAACAAAAAGTTAAAAAGCAGAGGGATGAAGTTAAGGCATAAAGTTTTCATTAGTTTTCTTTTTGCTTTTTTATTTGTTTTTCATGCAAATAGTGTTACCTTGTTATTAGCTTAAAAGGAAAGGTTATCAGATACTATTTGCAAACCTCATGGTAACCTCAAACCAAAAAAATACAACAGATACACTAAACATAAAAAGTGAGAGACTAAATTATATCACCAAAGAAAATCACCATCCCTAAGAGGAAGACAGGAAGGAAACAAAGAAGAAAACAAAGACCACAAAACAAGCAGAAAAGAAATAACAAAATTCAAGAAGTAAGTCCTTACTTAACAATAATAACATCAAATGTAAATGGACTGGCTGAATGGATAAAAGTACAAGACCCAGTGACCTGCTGCCTATAAGCAACACAATTCATCTATTAATATAAAGACCCACATAGACTGAAAACAAAGTGATGGAAAAGATATTTCATTCCAACAGAAACCAAAAAAGAGCAGGAGTAGCTACACTTTTATCAGACAAAATAGGTTTCAAGGCAAAAACTATAAGAAGAGACAAAGAAGGTCACTATATAATGATAAAGGAGTCAATTCAGCAAGAAGATATAACGATTATAAATGTATATGAACCCAACACTGGAGCACTCAGATATACAAAGCAAATATTATTAGACCTAAAGAAACAAATAGATCTGAATGCAATAATAGCTAGAGTCTTCAACACTCCACTTTCAGCATTGGACAGATCTCCCAAACAGAAAATCCAAAAAGAAGCATTTGACTTAATCTACACTATAGACCAAAAGGATCTAATAGATATATACAGAACATTTCATCCAATGGCTACAGAATATATATTCTTCTTCTCAGCACGTGGATCATTCTCAACGAAGAATCATACGTCAGGTCCCAAAACAAGTCTTAAAACATTCAAAATTTGAAATTATATCAAGCATCTTCTCTGACTACAATTGAACAAAACAAGAAATCAATAATAAGAGGAATTTTGGAAACTATACAAATTCACAGAAAGAAAACATAACATATCCAAACCTATGGGATACAGCAACAGCAATACTAAAAGGAAAGTTTATAGCTATAAGTGTCTATATCAGAAAAGAGGAAAATCTTCAAATAACCTAATGATGCATCTTAAAAAACTATAAAAACAAGAACAAACCAGAATTAGTAGAAAAAAAGAAATAAGATCTGAGCAGAAATTTTAAAAAATGAAATGAAGAGAGTACAAAAGATCAATGAAATGAAAAGTTGTTGTTTTGAAGAGTTAAACAAAATTGACAAACCTTTAGCCAGACTAACTAAAAAACAAGAGAGAAGATCCAAATAAATAAAATCAGAGATTTTTAAAAAGGCTTATTACAACTGATACTGCAGAAATTCAAAGGGTCATTAGTGGCTACTATGAGCAACTATATACCAATAAATTGGAAAAATCTAGGAGAAATTGATAAATTCCTAGACACATACAATGCACCAAGATTGCACCATGTTGGGGTTCAGTCAGGCGGGTGGGAAAAATATTAAAGATAGTTATAGTAATAGCGACAACCTCTCTTGGAAGGCCTGAGAGTTTGCATAGCTTCACATTGCTTGGCTGAAGGCAGCCAGGGTCTCTTTGCAGGAGCCAGAAAGATTAGGGTGCAAATACAAAGGAATGTGTGGAGTTTATCTTACCAAACTGTTTACTTATATGCGCCTAAGACTAACCTTTGTCCTACCACAGGTGCTTAACTGCCTCCTACTCGGGGGAGGAGGTCGGCAGAAGTTTATTACCTGCAAATCGTGTTTGCTTTAGGCCGAGGAACCTGGCCTTGAATCTTTACCCTCTAGTGATGTTTACTCAGGACCTCTTAATCTTTACTAAATAAATGCAAATCTCACTGACTGATTGAGGCCACAGTCTTAACTGTTTACAGGACTCTGCTGGAGTCTCTAAGAGGCTCAGACATTCAGCTGGACTGGCAAAGCAGAATATCTGTGTGTCGGTGTACTTCATTCATCTGTCGCTGGGTCAGGGGTCTGCAAGGGACAGACCCCCCCACAACTGGTGCCCCCGTGTGAGGAGCACTACCGCAGAACCAGGGGGAAATTCCAAACTTCAACAGACCAATAATAAGTGATGAGATTCAAGACATAATAAAAAGTCTCCTAGTAAGGAAAACCTGGTATCATCACTGTTGTATTCCACCAAACATTTAAAGAACTAATACCAATCCTCCTCAAACTATTCTGAAAAACAGAAGACAATGGAATACTTCCAAATTCATTCTATGAGGCCAGTATTCCTCTGATACCAAAACCAGACAATGACGCATTTAAAAAAAAAAAAAAGATAGGACAGGCCAATATCGCTGATGAATATTGATGCAAAAATCTTCAACAAAATACTAGCAAATCAAATTCAGCAATATATTAAAATGATCATTCATCATGACCAAGTGGGATTTATCCCTGGGATGCAAGAATGGAATAATATATGTAAATCAATCAATGTGATACATCATATCAACAGAATGAAGGACAAAAACCATGTGATCATTTCCATTAATGCTGAAAGAACACTTGATAAAATTCAACATCCTTTCATGATAAAAGCCCTCAAAAAACTGGAGATAGAAGGACAATTCCTCAACGTAATAAAAGTCATACATGACAGACCCACAGATAGTATCAAACTGAAAGCCTTCCTCTAAGATATGAAACATGACAAGGATACTCACTTTCTCCACTGTTACTCAACATAGTACTGGAAATCCTAGCCAGAGCAATCAAACAAGAGAAAGAAATAAAGGCATACAAATTGGAAAGGAGGAGGTAAAAATAACCTTGTTTGCAGAGCAACATTATTTTGTATTTGGAAAAATCTACAGACTACATCAAAAAATATTATAAATGACAAATTCAGTAGAGTTACAAGATACAAAATCGACAGAAAAACCAGTAGATTTCTATATGCCAATAGCAAACAGCATGAAAAAGCAATTTTAAAAGTATTCCCATTTACAATAGCCATAAATAAAATTAAGTACCTAGAAATTAACTTCATCAAAGAAGTGAAAGAACTCTACAATGAAAATTATGAAACATTAATGAAAGAAATTGAAGAGGACGCCAAAAAAAGGGATGATATTTCACGTTCTCGGTTTGGAAGAGTCACTATTGTAAAAATATCCATATTACCCAAAGCAATCTACAGAGTCAATCTAATCCCTATCAAAATACCAATGACATTCTTCACAGAAATTGAAAAATCAATCCTAAAATTTATATGGAACCACAAAAGATCCACTATCTTAGGCAAAAGTTCAAAACTAGAGGAATAACATTACCTGACTTTATACTACCTAGCTATAATAATCAAAACAGACGGTACTGGCAGAAAAACAGACACATAGACAAACGCAATGAAATAGACAAACCAGAAACAAATCCACACACCTACTGTGAACTCATTTTCAACAAAAAAGCCAAGAAAACACAATGGGGAAAAGACTTACTTCAATAAATGGCACAGGAAAACTGGATATCCATATGCAGAAGAATGAAACTACACCACTATCTCTCACCATATACAAAAATAAAATAAAAAGTAATTAAAGACTTAAATCCAAGACCTCAAACTATGAAACTTCTACAAGGAAATATTGGGGAAACTTTCCAGGACATTGGTCCAGGCAAAAATTTCTTGAATAATACTCATAAGCACAGTCAACCAAAGCAAAACTGGACAAACGATATCACATCAAATTTAAAAAGCTTCTGTGCAGCAAAGTAAACAATCCACAAAGTGAAGAGACAATACCCGAATGGGATAAAATATTTGCAAACTACCCATCTGACAAGGGTGTATTTGTACCACATTTTCTTTATCCAGTAATCTGTTGATGGAACCTTAGGTTGCTTCCTAATTGGGCTATCATGAACAGTGCTGCAACAAACATGGAAGTGCAGATATCTCTTTGATACACTGATTTCCTTTCTTTTCGGTATATGCCCAGCAGTGGGATTGCTGGATCATATGCTAGCTTTATTTGTATTTTTTGAGGAAACTTCAAACTTCAAATGGGTTAATAACCAGAATATGTAAGGACCTCAGACAACTCTATGAGAAAAAATCTAATAATCCGATTTAAAATTGAGCAAAAGAATAGACATTTCTCAGAAGAAAACATACAAATGGCAAACAGACACATGAAAATGTGCTCAACATCATTGATCATCAGAGAAATGCAAATCAAAACTACATGAGATATCATCTCCCCTCAGTTAAAATGGCTTTTGTCCAAAAGATAGGCAAAAACAAATGCTGGTGAGGATACGGAGAAAAGGGAAGGAACCCTTGTATACTGTTCGTTGATGCGAATGTAAATTAGTAGAACCACTATGGAGAAAAGTTTGAAGTTTCCTCAAAAAAAAAAAAAAAAAAAAAAAAGACTGGCATAAGATCCAGCAATCCCACTGTTGGGCATATACCCAAAAGAAAGGAAATCAGTATATCAAAGAGATATCTGCACTCACATGTTTGTTGCAGCACTGTTCACGATAGCCAAATTAGAAAGCATCCTAAGGTTCTATCAACAGATTACTGGATAAAGAAAATGTGGTACAGATACATAATGGAGTACTATTTATCCATAAAAAGAATGAGATCCTGTCATTAGCAACAATATGAATGGAACTGGAGGTCATTATGTTAAATGAAATAAGGCAAGCACAGAAAGACAAACATCACATGTTCTCACTTATTTGTGGGATCTACAAATGAAAATGATTGAACTCATGGAGACAGAGAGCAGAAGGATGGTTACTACAGGCTGTGAAGGGTAGTAGGTGGATGAGGGGCAGGATGAGGGGATGGTATATGGGTACAAAAGCATAATTAGAAAGAATGAATAAGACTTAGTATTAGCTAGCACAACAGGGTGACTACAGTCAATAATAATTTAATTATATACTTAAAAATAACCAAAAGAGTATCATTGAATTGTTTCTAACACAAAAAATAAATGCTTGATGGGATGGATACTCCATATTCCATGATGTGATTATTACCCATTGCATGCCAGTATCAAAACATCTCATGTACCCCATAAAGATATACACCTACTATGTGCCCCCAAAAACTAAAAATTAAAAAATAAAATGAAACAGAGCTGGTTTCAACTTAGCATAAGCAGTAAGATCACAAGCATATTAAAAAAATACATTAACAAAAGGGATGTATAGAACAAAAAAGATATCAAAATATTAAGAACACTTTAAATATTTGAATTTCAGATATTTTTGCTTCTACATTTTCCAATTTTCTTTAACAATGCTATCTTAATTTTTAATTTTCAAACAAGTAAATGTTTTGAAAGCTTATCTACCTAATTCAGGAAGCAATATTAGATTATGATTACTTTCCAAAAGAAATTCTTAATTCAAAGGGAAAAACTTTAACTTCATTGAGCCTCCATATCAGCTGTGGAATTCCTAATTCTGGATTTTAAATGAGAGTGAAATATTTTTATCATCTGCATGCTATTTTCGTGAGACCTCTCTTACTAGTTACCAAATGCAATTATTAACTGATATGATACTCCCTACTATTTTAGAATTAATGACGATTTAACTTAATATCAGAACTATAAAAACAAAATATAGACTTCTTTTCTTTTCATGAAAAATATACATATATAATTGAAAGCAAAGCCAACTTGCAAAAATGTAATTTGCAGAGTACATCAGTTTTTATCTTTTAATATTTGAAGAAAATGAGTAGATAAATATTCAGCAAAACTTTCAAATTTCTAAAATACTTCTTCTTTTCATGTACTCAGTCTTTTAGTAACCCATCCCTTTGGAATAGAGATATGTTCTTAAACAAAATTCTTATTATTTTATTTTATGTTAAATGCATTTTGTAATATTTTAATAATTTATATTTTGTCTTAATTATTTAAAATTGACCACATAATAATGTACTAAATTGGCCTGATTTTCATTCTATTCTCTTTTTTTTAGCAAGTTGCTTGCCAGAGATTATATCTGCGCTGTTTGTCAACACTCAAATCTCATAGACTCAATTTAAGTGACACACAAAGGAATCCTCTTAAAATTTTATTTTCTAATATTTCCATTTATGAAAAACAAATGGCATATTCTATTTTTTATCTTTTAGACACTTAAGTGTAAATCTTTGGCCTACCCACACCAATTGATTATTTTATATTACATACCAGTAGCTTGAACGTAACATGGTCGGATAAGTGGTACTGTTTTTGGATTCGAAGGAGAACTGGACAAATATTTAGTGTAGAGCTTTGAAGACTCAAAGAAATTAATCTGAACTTGAATGATGAATTCAACTACTGTCACCTGATACAAAAAAAATACATTATACTTGTTAATTTTTGCTTTGCGAAATATGGGATACTATTTATTTAGCCAAACAGCAGTTTTTAAAAAGCAGTTTTAAAAAATAAAATTATCTTGCGACATTGAACTACATTTTTAAAAAAAAGATGGTTCATTTTTAATGAGTTCAAAAATAATTCAAAAAAATAAAAATAAATTTTTAAAATAATTCTTATTCATTCAAAATGAACCAGATTTTAAATATAAAATCCAAAGTGGTAAATATTTAGGAAGAAATTATAGGAAAAAAAATCCTTGTAATCCTTGGGTAAGCAAAGATTCTTAAATACAAAAGCAACCATCTATTAAACTATCTATTGAAAAGCAATTAAATTGTACAGTATCAATTGTTTAATCTGTTATTTTAAAAGACATTATTAAGAAAATAAAAGTATAAGTCAAAAACCCATTTCTCACAAAAAATCTATCTTGTATCCAAAGTACATAAAGAATACTCAAAGTTCAATTTAAGAAAATGAACTAATGAAAAAAGTTGGTGAAATATTTGAAAAGACACTTCAGAAAAGAAGCTATACAAATTACACATTAGCACATGGAAAGATGTTTCATACTAAGGAAATGCAAATTGAAACCATATGAGATATCACTTCACACCTATCACAACTGCTTAAACAAAAATAACATGTGAACACGTAAAACACATACATTGCTGATGAGAACGCAAAATTTTATAGTTACTTTGAAAAACAAGTTTCTTCATTATTAGAAAGTTAACTATATATTTCACATAAAGCTCAGGACTCCCAAATTTAGGTGTTTACCCAAGAGAAGTGAAACTTATTCATACAACTTATTCATTATTGCCAAAAACTGAAAATAATCCAAATGCTCTCCAAATGGTGAATGAATAACAAACTTACTTTTCAACAATAAAAGAATGAACTACTGTTGCATACAATAATGTGGATGAATTTCAAATTTATTATGCTAAGTGAGAGAAGTCAGACTGAAAACCTCATGATTACCTTATGAATACCTTATGATTTCACTTATATGACATTCTATAAAAGGCAAAATTATGGAGTCAAATTCAGATTAGTGTTTGCCATGGACTAGAGGTGGAGGAGGGGATGAATACTAGGTCTTGATTCATTCTTTTTAACTATGTTTTTGTACCCATTAACCATCGATACCTCCCCCTCATTCACCTAGTACCCTTCACAGCCTATAGTAATACACACAAGAAAATGTACAGAAGGTGATGCAACTGTTCTCTATATTGATTTTGTTATTTTTTGCCCAATTGTATACATTTGTTAATTGTTCATATATCCGAAAGAGACTTTTAGTTTATGCACATTTTTTAAAAAGTTAAAGCGAATTCCTTGGCTGTGATTTTTATACATCTGGATTCAAAACCCGAAATGGACTGACAATATCGGCACCCAGGCAGGTGAATCATAAAACAATTAACACTCAGAGCTACAAAATATATTTGCAATTATATAGTGCTAGCCCCTCATTTTCAAAAAAAGAATATGTGGTCCAGTCTAGATGAAAACACAGAGTCTGCATCAAAGAGAAAAGAAAGAGTCGATCTTCATGTTTGGGGGCTGTATCAAAACTAAAAAGGTTGGCTTCAGCCAAATGGTAAACAGGCAGCTCCAAATGTCCATGGCCCCACAGAAACGTGAAAAACACATAAAAACTGTCAGGAACCGTGTTGTCAGAACTGGAAAAAAGTCAAAAGTTTACAGCAATCAAGTGAACACTGAATCAAAAAAAAAAAGACAACTTAAAAATAGTAGGAAAGCTTTGTGGCACTTTTACTTGCCCTTGTGCCACTCCCTCTGACTCAGCAGTTGTCTTGAGGCTAGCAGACTTCATTCCCCAGTGCAAGACCCTGGGACCTGTTTTCTTTATTTTTTTAACTTAATTTAATTTTTTATTTTAAGTTCCAGGATACATGTGCAGAATGTGCAGATTTGTTACGTAGGTATACTTGTGCCATGGTGGTTTGCTGCACCTAACAACCCGTCATCTAGGTTTTAAGCCCCGCATGCATTAGGTATTTGTCCTAATGTTCTCCCTCCCCATGCCCTCCAACCACCAACAGGCCCCACTGTGTGTTGTCCCCCTCCCTGTGTCCATGTGTTCTCATTGTTCAACTCCCACTTATGAGTGAGAACATGTGGTGCTTGTTTTCTGTTCCTGTGTTAGTTTGCTGAGGATGACGGCTTCCAGCTTCATCCGTGTCCCTGCAAAGGGCATGCTCTCATCCTTTTTTATGGCTGCATAGTATTCCATGGTGTATATGTGTCACGTTTTCTTTATCCAGTCTATCATTCATGGGCATTTGGGTTGTTCCGAGTCTTTGCTATTGTAAATAGTGCTGCAATAAACATACGTGTGCATGTGTCTTTATAGTAGAAAGATTTATAATCCTTTGGGTATATGCCCAGTAATGGAATTGCTGGGTCAAATGGTATTTCTGGTTCTAGATCCTTGAGAAATCGTCACACTGTCTTCTACAATGGTTGAACTAATTTACACTCCCACCAACAGTGTAAAAGCATTCCTATTTCTCCACAGCCTCACCGGCATCTATTGTTTCCTGACTTTTTAATAATTGCCATTCTGACTGGCATCAGATAGTATCTCATTGTAATTCTGATTTGCATTTCTCTACTGACCAGTGATGATGATGTTTTTTTAATGCTTGCTGGCCACATAAATGTCTTAAGTGTCTGTTCATATCTTTTGATGGATTAAAAACTTAAATGTAAAACCAAAAACCATAAAAACCCTAGAAGAAAACCTAGGCAAAACCATTCGGGACACAGGCATGGGCAAAGCCTTCATGACTAAAACACCAAAAGCGATTGCAACAAAAGCCAAAATTGATAAATGGAATCTAATTAAATTAGAGAGCTTCTGCACAGCAAATAAACTAGCATCAGAGTGAACAGGCAACCTACAATATGGGAGAAAATTTTTGCAATCTACCCATCTGACAAAGTTCTAATACCCACAATCTACAAGGAACTTAAACAAAGATACCTGGTTTTTGATGAAACAAAACAGACTTCATTCAGAAATTACTGTGTTTATCTCTTCTAACCTTCCTGGGGGTACATGAAGGACTGATGCAATGTGCTTGGCATGTTTTGCCTATCTTTGAACTCACTCAAGGCAGAAAAGCAGTGAAATTGTTAAAAAATATTGTAAGATAAACAAAAAACCCAAAGCCACCTGACAGAATATTATGGTTGAGACATGCAAACGCTACCTAAAGTCTGGAAATAAAAGTAGGAGAGCTTTTGGAGAAATTAAGGCATTTAAAAGTGCCCTGGAGAATTTAGAAAGCATCAAGGACACTCAGAGTAGGACATGTGCTCAGAAAATACCTGAGAAGATGTTAAACTTTCATCTTTGTCTGACTCTAGGCTAAGTGCAAGTGGTAAGTAAAAACTAAGAAATTGTTGTAAACAACCTCGCTAACTGCTGAAGAAGTGCCTCAGGACACTCTATCCAAAAAGACTATGATAGGTGTTTTTGTTTATGTGTCTGATTATTTTAGTTCCTGGCATTCAAGGAAATATATCTCAAAACACTACTCAACACCAGCTAAAGGAACAGACACTTCAGTGACCATGCATAGCAAAGAATGTATTCTTTGCAATAATAGTTTTGAAAAGTCAATAAACAAATGGATGACTACAGCCTTCAATAAGCAAGAAGAGTAAACCCAGAGAAAGGAGGATAATCTGATGTACAGAGTTACCAAATTATAATATTCAAATGTCCAGTATTCAATAACCAACAAAACAAAACAAAAGATTATGAAGAAATCCCAGCCATAGGACTTATTAGAAAAAGACTTTAAAGCCACTGTCTTAAATACGTTCATAGAACTAAAGGAAACCATAGAAAAGAACAAAAGAATGTCATGAAAATAATGTATACACGAAACGAGAATATCAACAGAGAAATCATAACAATCAATAAACAAAAAGTTGGTTGTTTAAAAATATTATAAAAATGACAAAACACTTTGGGAGGCCAAGATGGTTGGATCACGAGGTCAGGAGATCGAGACCATCCTGGTTAACACAGTGAAACCCCATCTCTACTAAAAATACAAAAAAATTAGCCAGGCATGGTGGCGGGTGCCTGTAGTCCCAGCTACTCGGGAGGCTGAGGTGGCAGAATGGTGTGAACCCGGGAGGCGGAGCTTGCAGTGAGCCGAGATCATGCCACTGCACTCCAGCCTGGGCAACAGAGCGAGACTCCATCTCAAAAAAAAAAAAACGACAAAACTTTAAACTAGTCTGACAGTAAACAAATGAGAGGAGACATGAATAACTAAAATAAAAGATGAGATTATGGACATTACTATCAACCATATAAAAAAGGGTTAATTCAAAGAGAATACCATTCTTATGGCTCAAGATCCAAATCTCAATTTTGAAAATAAAATTATAAATTACATAATTTATTAGAAATTTAAATTGATAAAAATAAAATTGATCTATACTAAAGCTGAAAATGCTACGGAAGTAATATCACTGCTAAAATATTTACATATGTATGAGAAAATTCTTATTGCATTTCAAGTTACATTACAGATAATTTAAAATAAAAATTCATTTTTTCTAATGACGTTTTTAAACTTTGTGTTGATTTTTTTTTACCAAAACCTTACATTATTTATGTTTAAAAAATATTAAGATGGTCGACCCTGTTATTCCATGGTACCTTGGTAAACTTCTAGAGGTGGGAGGTAGAAAACAGGCAAGAATGTGAATATTTTAAATGTGAAAAGGGAAGAATAATAGTACTTCTCACATGCCAAAACCTCCAAGGTCATGACAACAAGCATTGATGGGTTCAGAGGTACATATATCTAGTACTGTGCTATACTCATAAACTCAGTGCTGACAATCTAAACAGTTTTAAATAAAATGAGGAGCTGAATATTATAAAGTGCATATGTTCAGCTCTAGTCATTCATATTGCCCTAATAGGCAAAACACTTGGGTTTCTATTTTTATTTAACTTTAACTGGCTGTACCACTGCCAATTCCATTTTCTGTCATAGAATCTTATGTACAGTCCATTCTTATAACCAAATTATAGAAGCCTAAAATACTGCTCATATGTTATTTTCCTGAGGTTTCAACTCTTTGGTCAAAACAGCAAGCAATTCATTCCCATGATAATCTATTTCTGCAGTGGCACTAGCTTGCAGACATCAAGGAATAAATTGCATAAAGATGTAGTATTTCATGTTCAAATACAACCTGTTTTGATATTTCATAGATAAGAAAAAACAACAACAACTTTGCTTGATCTTATTTCCCTGGAATCTTAGCATTTAATCATCAGCAGCTGGTTATATTTTGTGTCTCATTTTTATTTTTCCACTTCTGGTTCATCTGCTTTTTTTCTTAATTTGATTATTAATATCATACATATTATAATATTACTATTATTTTAGGCTATTATTTTATTTTTAAGGCTTTTTTATATATTAATAATATGGACTCATATTTTAAAGTCAAATACTGCCAAAGAGTATGTTTCGCAAACTGTCATCTTCATCTGATTGCTGGATGGACATTAGTCTTTAACAGAAGCTGAGGGGACTGGAAATGTGAAGAAAAGGAAAATTATAATGATAGGACCCATCTTTTCTTTCAATGTGTCACTTAGTTTCTTCCACATCAACAGAAATGTGAAGAAAAAGGAAGTGTGAGGCCAGGGTTCTGGATAAACCTCCATTTGGATACTGAAATCACTCAGAAAATGAGATGAGTAGGGTACCGGATATACTATGAGTCTAGCTGGCGGTGACCAGGAGCATGTCTGGAGATGACTATTCACAAGAGACCACTCACCAGAGATTTCACAGAGGGGAACTGGCAAAGCCACACAATACAAAGTTCAAAGAAGCAGGCTTTTTAAAATTATTTATTTTATTTATTTATTTATTTATTCTTTTGAGACAGAGTCTCACTCTGTCACTCAGGCTGGAGTGCAGTGGTGTGATCTCGGCTCACTGCAGCCTCCTCCTCCTGGGTTCAAGCGATTCTCCTGCCTCAGCCTCCCTAGTAGCTGAGATTACAGGTGAGCATCACCATGCCCGGCTATTTTTTGTATTTTTAGTAGAGACAGGGTTTCACCATGTTGGCCAGGCTAGTCTGGAACTCCTGACCTCAGGTAATCTTCCCACCTCGACCTCCCAAAGTGCTAGGATTACAGGCATGAGCCACCATACCCAGCCAGAAGCAGGCATTTTTAACAGATAAGGACCCTCTAGAAAAATCACCCCAGGGAACAAGGCCTCCAGAAAGGATCACTTCTAGACCCACAGCAAGATTCATAGGAAATGCTATTTTAAAAAACAGTGCTATTGAGATAGCCAGGTTCCCAATGAGAAGAAATCATGAAGAAAAAGGAAGCCCAGAAAAATACAGAGGACTTATAGAAGCGTAGGGACACTAGAGGGCAGAGAAAAAGGGAAGGGAAGCTAAGTGTGAGGGGAATCAGAGCTGACAGGGAAGAGAAGCTATTCACAGGATGCTCCAATTTTGGAGAATGACTGAAATAAAGAGGAATCTGAGTCATGATGAATTGAATCGACAGTTACTGGGGCTTGAGTCTTCACTGTCTGTCTTCGAGTCTAGTGCTGGGTCCCAAAGTTAGGGATGATAGGAGTGGAAAGCTGAAGTTATGGGACAGGTTTAACACAGGACCAGACTGAGGGCTCTATTTTAAAATGTCTGATGCTGTCTTTGTTGATGACTGTTGGTGACTGTCAATGATAATGACTGTTGGTAATTATCGAGATAATTCAATGTACTCATCTCAGCCCTTAACTGTCTTTTTTAAGTATGAAGCCTTTCTCCCTCCTGAAACATACAATTTTTCTAAAACTGTGTGGTGAATTCACAAGGCTAAGGGTTAATCCCTGCCTTCTCTGATTATCAAGTAGGTATAGGTGAAAAGTCATACTGGACTTGTCTTCTCTTAACTGACATCTTCACACACAATTTGCATAAAATATGTTTTTATCCAAAGTAGGTCTATAATTACACAGAATGCCAAATTAGGAGGTTCCATGATTCCTTTGCCCATGGAAGTCTTCTCCCTTCAACAAAACTGCAAGAATACAAGACTTATCTTTTACACAGAAACTAAATGACACATTGAAAGAAAAGACGAGCCCTATCATTATAAAATCACTGAGGTATTCAATGAGGAAAGAAAACTTTGAACGTTTTGTGATGTGTGATATTTTAAGTGATTTCCCAGATGTTGTCATTCAAAGACAGGAATACCTCAAATTGAAAAGGATATTCTAATGAAGTCAGATTTCAGTACCCAGTCCAGTGTTGGTAGACAGACATGTTTATGAATTGAAAAGGAGCAGGTGTCATTCAAATGTCCTTTCCTTTAATCCTTGAGGAATTATTCTTAGCTTCCCGTAAGAATGATTGTAAATCTAGAATAATCGTTATGAAAGGTTTACCCAAGGTTCTGCATATCCTTAAATCGCAGATCAAGGCTAGTGGGAAAAATAAAAAGCATGAACAATTCTCCCTCACATTCAAAAACTGCAGGGAAAATACAGAGCAACAAAGATGAAAGTTGCAAAGAGCTGCAGAGTAACTAAGGCACTGAAGATGAACCAGCCTATGCTTCAGGGCAGAACCTGGGTCATAGCAGCAGGAAAAATAGGAGTAATAATAGGGAAAGATCTATACTAGTGCTGTCCAGTGAAACTCTGTCATGAAGAAAATGCTCTGCATTGTACAATAGCCACGTGTGAATCTACAGAATGAGAAATGTAGGTATTGTGATAAAGAAACAACATTTCTGTTGGGCTTAATTTTAATAAATTTAAGCTTTAATTCAAATAGCCATATGTAGGTACTGACTACCATATAGGAAGTACAATTCCATATATTGACCAAGAAGACACGTTAGTAGCCCACAAGAAAAGGAGGAGCTTGAGTGACTTACAGAAAATAAACAAATCCATTTGAAAATGCCAAATACAACTGCATTTGACTACTAGCACTTCAGGTTGTGCTCAAACCTGGTGCAGTGTAGGAAAGGAAGGTTTACAACTAACAATAAATCAATCATGTATTGTTGATTTCACATTTTCCTGCTACATAGGTCAACCAAGAGAGCATCAATTTGCTATTTACATTTTGACACATGCACAAAGATGGACAACTTACACCTAGCAATAAATATAGTGGAGGACATTTGAAATGACTGGAAACCAGATAATCAATCTGCCTTACTGGCACAGATTTATAGAATAAATTCTCAAAGGGTGTGCTGTCTCTGCAGGAGTTGATATGTTCTTCTCATTGTTGAAGTGAATTACACTCCAATACACTAAGTAAATCTTCTTTTTAAAATACCCAGTTAACGTAGAATGATTCAGAATCTAAGCAAAGTGTGGCACTTCACAGAAATTTAAATATATATAATTAATTTTAATTTTATGATCAATTTCTAGAATCCTAAACATTAAGAAATACTTAGAACTTTTTAAATTGCTGACAGTGTTGGTGAACTATTGTCTAAATATATTATATATAATACATTCTCCAAAAAAGTCATGTAAGATACTTAAATTGCATGATAGATTTTTCTAATTTTCAATGATCCTTAAGTAAAATGTTTTATATACATTTCAATTATATGAAAATATAAAATCACAATATAGACTTATTAGAAAAATACATAAACTTGGCCTTAAAATAATTTTTAAAAATCTATAAATTACTGCAGAACATTTAGGTTTTTTCTTGTTGAAATTGTGTGTGTGTGTGTATGTGTGTGTGTATGTCTGCATACTTCTATGTACATGTGAGATATAAACATTATATAGGTGAATGACATACCTTAATTTATCAGAATACTAACTTGTGAGAAAAGAATTACTTAGTTTCTTTTTATTTAGAGGGTTTTTAAAAATCATAATAATAAGAATACAAATTTGAAAAAATAATCTTACAAAGTTTATTTTTAAAATAATGAGCATTCCCCTCATTTCACCATTGCACACATGTGCACACACACAAACATACACATACACATCCAGATGTAATCATTAGTTGTTTTAGACTTACTGCAACATAGTTAAATAACCTACATAGAGTGTCATGAAACAAGCTGCAATAAATTTAAAGTGATTTAAATGAACTAATGTGTGTTCTCTAACTATAAGGGAATTATATTAGAAATCAATAAGATAAACTAGGTAAATGCACAAATATGTGGAAATTAAACGAGACACACCAAATAACTAATAGGTGAAAAATAAATTATGTGGGAAATTGCAAAATATTTTGAAGAGTAAAACTGAAAATAAAACATATCAAAACTTTTGGGGTAAATGTAAAACAGTATTTAGAGGAAAGTATGTAGCCATAAAACCTATATTTAAAAAGTGAAATATCTCAAATCAATGCCCTAACATTTCACACTTAAAAATAAGAATAGAAGATCAAATCAAACAGAAAAAAATGAATAATAAAGATAAAGTGGAAATGAATGAAATAAAGAATCAAAAATAATACAGCAAATCAGAAATACCAAAAGTTGGATCTTGAAAATATCAAAACAGACAAAACTTTAGATATGCTGACCAAGATAAAAAGAGAGATGGCTCAATTTTATAAAATCTGGAATGAAAGAACGAACTAAATTATTACCTACCTTACAGAAATAAAAAAAAAACCATTAACACATATATATCAATAAATTAGGTAACTTAAATGAAATTTCTCAAGAAGAAACAGAACATTTTATAAATACAGACCTATAACAGCAAACAGATTACATTAATAATTTTTTTACAGTTCTAACAGCTGTATTGAGATATATTTCACCAAAAGGGTACAATTCAATGGTTTTTAGTAAATTTACAGAATTGTGCAATCATCACCGTAATTAAGTTTTAGAATGTTTCCATCAACCCCAAGAGCTTCTTCATGACAATTTGCCTAACTCCAGGTAACCACTGATCTACTCTATAGATTGTCTCTTTTGGAAATCTCACATAAATGGAATCATAAAAAATGTACTCTCTTTTATCTAGTTGCATTCACTTAAAATAACATTTTTGTGGTTTATTCATCTAGCAGGACATATTAGCAATTTGTTCCTTTATACTGCCAAATAATATTATAGAGTATGGATATACCACATTGTGTTCATCCATTTATCAGGTGATGGACATTTGGGTTGTTTCTACTTTTAAGCTATTGTGAATAATGCTGCTATGAGCATTCACATAAAAGTCTTTGTATGGACATGAATACACATTTCCCTTCTTTTGGGAAGAAATATACCTCCCTGGTTAGCAATATTCTTAGATATTTTATTCTTTTGTAGCAATTGTGAATTAAATTGCCTTCCTGATTTGGCTCTTGGCTTGGTCGTTGGTGTATAAAAATTCTAGTGGTTTTTGGTCTGGTGCAGTGGCTCACGCCTGTAATCCCAGCATTTTGGGACGCCATGGTGGGCAGATTACCTGAGGTCAGGAATTCGAGACCAGCCTGGCTAATATAGCAAAACCCCATCTCTACTAAAAAAATATACAAAAATTAGCCGGGTGTGGTGGCACATGCCTGTACTCCCAGCTACTCGGGAAGCTGAGGTAGGAGAATCACTTGAATCGGGGAGGTGGAGGTTGCAGTGAGCTGAGATCGCACCACTGCACTCCAACCTGGGTGACAGAGTGAGGCTCCATCTAAAAAAAAAAAAAAAAAAAAAAAAGAAAAAGAAAGAAATGCTAGTGATTTGTACCCTGACTTTGTATCCTCCAGCTTTGCTAAAGTTGTTTATCAGCTTAAGGAGCTTTTGGGCTGAGACTATGTGATTTTCTATATATAGAATCATGTCGTCTGAAAACAGGGATAATTTGACTTCCTATTTAGATGCCCTTTATTTTTTTCTCTTGCCTGATTGCTCTGGCCAGGACTTATAATACTAAGTTGAATAGGAGTAGTGAGAGAGAGCATCCTTGTCTTTGCTGGTTGTCAAGGGTCACACTTCCAGCTTTTGCCCATTCAGTATGATGTTGGCTGTGGGTTTGTCATAGATGGCTCTTATTATTTTGAGGTGTGTTCCTTCAATACCTAGTTTAAAATTAATATTTTTTAAAAAAAAATGCTGAGGACTAGATGACTTCAATGATGAATTATAAGACTAATTTAAATAATTAATTCAGTCCTTCACAAATTCTGCCAAAATAGAAGTGGAGACACCACTCTATAATTCATTCTAAGAAGCCAATATTAGCCTGATATTCAAAACAAAGGTATCAGAAGAAAAAAAAAAACAATAAGGCTAACAAACTACAGACCAATGTTCCTTACAAGTATAGATGCAAAAGCCTTCATCAAAGTACTAGGGAATTGGATTCAGCAATATATAAAAAGAATTATATCTTATGATCTAGTGAGATTTATTCCACAATGCAAGGTTGGTTTAACATTAAAAAAATCAATCAATATAATATACTATATTAATATAATAAAGGACAAAAACGTGACCATCAAAGTGGATAATAAAATTAACAAAATCCAGGTCTTTCAAAATCAAAATACTCAATAAACTATAAAAGGAAACTTCCTCAACCTAATAAAGGAAATTTTTTAAAAAAGATAACTGTTGCTAACCTTATATTTAAAGGTGTAAGATACATGCTTTCAGGAACAAGACAAATATGTTTTTCTATTCAACATTATCTTATCTCAACTGAAGTACTGAACTTCAAAATAGCAAAATTAATCTTTATCATTTTCTAATATTCAAACTCATCCTCAAACTTTATTTTTTCCATCTGAAAGCCAAATAACAGCTTACATTTTTCCTGAAATAAAATTTAATCTCAGTAAAAATAACATTACCAAAAATTAGATTATTAAAGATAGCATTTAGTAGCATTCAATACAATTTTATTGTGTATTAGTTATTTTCTCTTAATTCTAATCTATACCTATTGAGCAGAATCAATTTAGTTATGTTGGTGTATTAAAAAAAAGTTTTGACATAAGAATCTTATACTCTGATTGCCACATAGAAGTTTGATTCTTGCTTGGAAGGATACACTAATATGCAGTTTTTTGTTTGTTTGTTGGTTGGTTGGTTGGTTTTTTGAGACGAAATCTCGCTCTTGTTGCCCAGGCTGGAGTGCAATGGCGCGATCTTGGCTCATTGCAACCTCTGCCTCCCAGGTTCAAGCGACTCTCCTGCCTCAGCCTCCTGAGTAGCTGGGATTACAGGCGCCTGCCACCACACTAATTTTTGTACTTTTAGTAGAGATGGGGTTTTGCCATGTTGGTCAGGCTGGTCTCAAACTCCTGACCTCAGGTGATCCGCTGGCATCGGCCTCCCAAAGTGCTGGGATTATAGGGCTATATGCACTTTCATATCATGCGTAGAGAGAAGCTCTCTCGTTGGGCACTTCTGTTAGAGAATCTGTGAAGCAAAAGCCTGCTAGAGTTGGCTCCTGAAACCTGACCAGTGGTCTCCCTTCCTTCTGGGCACATTTCAGAATAGGTTTTTTGTCTGTTTGTTTGCTCTTGTTTTTAAATCACTAAACATCAAGGGGTACAATATAAAAGGAGCCAATATCATAGCAACTCCTCTTAAATCTTCACAATATGTCTTTGACAATTTCAGGTAGTGGTTCACAGAGCATACACCACTCAAATATAAGTACAAAGCACCAACTGCCTGGAATATAACTTTCCTCTCCTTCAAAATGTGTAATATCTTGAATTTTCTAGATAGTATAACAAAGACCACACAATCATAGGTCCCCTGTACATGCCCTCCACTCCTCTTGAGGCACTCTGCAGCATGAGCCAAACCCTCCAGCAATCGTTTTACTGAATTAAGGTATACCCAGGCATGCTTACAAGTCAGAAAGAAAAACCCTCCACAGATAGATCTTGGGTGATCTTTAATAGGTTTTTGGTTCGGAATACCCATAACTGCAGTAATATGAGGAATAGAAAACTGAACTTACTTCTTTGGGAGAAAATGTTATGCTACATTCCAGAGATGTATTTTCCTCTAATTCCAAAGAATATATATAAGGAACTGCAGGGTCTTTAAATTCTTCTGTAAGAGGTGAAAAAGTACACATATTCATAACAATCAAAAATCAATTTCTAAAATATTTGTGCAGGGCTATGTGAAGATGCTCAGTAAAGAATTGTTCTAAATACCAAGATTCTAATTAGCAAAATTGATATCTATACATGGAACAAATATACATTCAATTGGCAAAACAGTGACAGTAAACTCATTAAAAAATAACTCCAAAGTTCAAGAAGCATGTTATAGTCATACTCAGATGAATATAAATAGGAATAAAGGGCAAGGTCAAGTAATTAACTAAATCTTAGGTCCCGGAACAGCTAGGAGACTCCCTTTCCAGTGAAAATTGATCAGGGAAGAGTCAGATCTCCTTTGATGTCTCAAAGAGTCCGTAAGTAATACAAATGCATATCCATTACCTCACTGATATACTTACTTTTCACTTTTTGAGGATATGTAAGATGTCTTACTTATTTGTATGGACTCAAACGCTACTATCTTGCCTGTAATTGGGATTCAACAAATATTTAATGAATAATAAATGACTAAACCAATGATTAGGAAACCTTCTGTAAGAATCCAGATAGTAAATATTTTAAGCTTTGTGAGACATATGGTTCCTATCACAGCTTTTCAACTCTGCCAGTATAGCATAAAAGCAGCCATAAGCATTATACAAACAAATGGGTCTGTGCGTGTTCTAATAAAACCTTATTTATAAAAACAGGTGATGGCTCATATTTGGCTCATAGGTCTTATTTTGACAACCTATGGAGTAAACTTACAAAAATGCGTATTTTGTTTAAATCTAATTTAACATCAAGATATCTAATACATGAGTAAACATATAGAGATAGCTCCCCAAAGACATTTATCTAAAATTATTGAGCAATTAAAACAAGCGATTCATAATTTTATGTTCATTTAAGGCATATACTTATATATAACATACTTAACTTAGCATATTTAACACACTAATAAGAACGGTTACGTTTCATGTATTACCAAAGTGTTTTGATATTAATAATGATGTATTTCTACAAATAAAACCATGATGAGTTACAGAGTGTAAGAAAAACATGCAGTGGTCATTAAAAACATTTAAGAAGAACTTCCCTTGATTGAATTAGTTTTAGAAATTATACCACAGGGCAATTTAAAACTGTTTTCCTTTTACAGTAATACCATTATATACAAAATATATACCTGATTTGTCTTTAAGATCCATTGAAAAATCCGGAAAGTCTTTTAGAT
This sequence comes from Homo sapiens, assembly GCF_000001405.40. Classification (NCBI taxonomy): domain Eukaryota; kingdom Metazoa; phylum Chordata; class Mammalia; order Primates; family Hominidae; genus Homo; species Homo sapiens. The sequence goes on along the minus strand of NC_000023.11, from coordinate 36,000,379 downwards.
TAAACTCCACTCTGGCACGTGTTATACCTTTGTTTTTTATTACAAATGGAATAATCTGGGTACCACCAATATAGGCGCCACTGAAATTAAATACATCCTAAAATTTAAAAAATAAAAATAATTAGAAAATAGAATAGTTTATGAAAATGTAAACTAAAACTTGCAATATTATATTTATCAAGGAAATTATTAACTACAAAGCAGAACCCTATAAAAATTTGTCACATTTTCCTTCCTCTCCCCCACCTCCTCTATGCCTCCTACATGTAATAAGTTAATAAATCCTATTAATTCTTCCCCTTTCTTCACCTCTTGTCCATATTGTAACTGTATGAAATTAGTAAATCATCACTTTTCATTTAGTTTCTAGATTTTTACTTTTCTCAAACTCTCCCCTTCATAATGAAGCCATATTTAAACTAATTAAGAATTTGATCATATCGCTTCTTGTTTTAAAATTTGATGGTTTCTCACAATCTACAGGACCATGTCCAAGCTCATTAGCAGGGCTCATAAAGTTCACCATGGTCTTCTGCTGCCTCATGTTCCAGCTTCAACTAGCTCCACTCTATTAAGTGATAACTTAATATTTCAGCAAGCTGTATGACTTGGTATTTCCAACCAACACCTGATGCTTCACCCTTCTGTGTCTTCACCCTTTTGGTGCCCCTTCTATCAGGAAAGCCTTTCTGTAACTTGCAATTGCCTAATAAAATATTACACATCCTTCAAACCCCAGATGGATAAACCACAATTAATCATGCTGTGCTCAGGACCAACTCTGTTTCTTTTATTTACTTATATTATGATATCACATAACTTATTTATGTATTTATTTACTTATCTGTCTCTTCTACTGGACCTTAGCGTGATTCATTTTTGTATCCCTAGCACCTATCCAACATCTACCTTAAATAAACAAGGAATGTTTATTAAGTGTATCTGAGCTGTAGCTCACACACAAGGCATGTGCTTATATCACAAAACTCTTTAGAATTCCTCCTTGTAGTAGAGTTACTAAAATACCATGGAGTTTCTTAGTGATAGAATTACATACAACATTTAAAGGAGATCGAGACAACAGCATCCTAATATTGAGGAGAATTCCGTATGAAAGTAGACTGGCTATTTGTTTCATTTAAAATGTCAACGCAGTTGTATATGTAAAATTTGTAAAATCCAAAATGGAAAATGAAAGTTTGATGTTTTGTATATGTAAAAATAATCACTCTTGTTATCCCATTCAAATGAGCATATATGCAAATGAGCATTGTATATGTGCTCATTTGAGTAAAATGTCCTAATTGTTATTAAGACACATAGTCAATGCCTTAGCCATTACTGTATAGTTAATAAATGTATAGCTAAAAATATCTAGTGATGTGTGAATATTATTTTTTAAAGTCAGCTATGTCTAAAATGCTATAAGGGAATATTGATAAAATATATTAAAGTCCTATAAATTATTCAGTTGTACCATAACATGCAAAGCATGCCCAAAATGACTTTAGGATGAGAAAAGAAAGTGATAAAAGACTCAATATTATCTAATATTTTTCAAGGAAGGATGCCATAGTAATGCAAAAAACACTCTGGATACTACAGAGTTTAACCTCCAGGAATCACCACAGCCTTGGACAAGCTAACTTAGTATTTGTCAGTCTACCTGGACTTATGCCTTCACCACTGAATAAAGAAAGGTTATAAAAGTATAAGTTAAAGCCATACACTGGAATTTTGGTGATGCCATTTAAATGCAGACTAGCAGTGAGCCCCCTACCTGAGGCAGCAAGCTGACCTCTTTATCATCAATTTCTGCTCAATTTAGCTCCACACCAGTATGGTGGTAGATGTTAACAGTACTAGTGGGAGAAAAAACAAAAGTACAAATAGCCCCAAAATAATATGACAACTGCTCTGATGGTGATGTTCCCAGGGTATAAGATTTCTGTAATACCTTATAAATGTCACAATGAGGGGGCCCTACTTTGAAGAATCAAGGAAAGTTTCTTTGAATAGGTAAGTCCAGATCTAAACACTAAAGCGCTGGCAAGAACAACAACAAAAAAGTGGTGTATGTGTTTGTCTGTGTGTGTGCACTCTATCAATTATAGAACAAAATTTTTTCAGGGTACATACAATAATGCAAAAATAAATGTGATTCTAGTTCAGAAAATGAAAATCAATACCACAGTGAGGTATCATTTTATACTCAATAGATTGGCAAAATTTAAATCTGACAATATAACTTGTAGAATAATAGAATTTGAAGCAATGGAAATTAGGACATTTTAGGAATAGTCTTGTGAAGTTAAACACACTCATAACTCTATGTCTCAATAACTCCATTCCGAGAGAACCTCTTGTATGTGTACCTCAGAAGATAAGCATATAAATGTTCACAGCTACAGTTTTTGTGTTTAAAAAAAACCCAGAAATACCTATTGGGATGAACAACTGAATGATCATGTAAATTATAGTATGTCTACACAAATAACTATTATGCAGTATGACAATGATTAACATACCATTACACACAATTTAGGTGAATGTTGAAAACACAATATTTAAGTAAAAGTAACTCACCAAAGGCTACAAATAGTACATCTTTGTTATAAAGCTCAAAAACAAACAAACTAAATAATCAACAATGAAAGCATTCATATTCATATTTATGTGGTGTCATTTTAGGCAAGTGGTTATCTCTTATAAGGGACAGGACCATAATGAAGATGATTTTAATGGTACTGGTAGTGTTCTGATCCTTACATTCAGTGGTAAATTCTTAAACCTTCATTCAATATTCTGTTTCAACACTTACATTTATATGACATATATTAATTTTTATTAATTTTTAACTTTGTATATAGTAATTTTTAAAAATTATACATTGGAAAATATTTTTAACATAAATGGGCTAACTAGAAACACATAACAAATAAAAATCACCACACTCAGAGTTTCATCACACAAATAAGTAACATACTCACAGGATTGATTTCTACATCAGCAATTTCAGCAGATCCACCAATCCTAAGGTCTATAACATTCGCATGACGAATAGAAACCTTATTTAGGAGAAATAAAAACTTTGTAGAAACCACATTAAAATATAATCATAAGTTGCTGAAGTATTACCTGGCATGTATATAACTTTTTTCATTTAAATAATAGTAACATATTATAAATGCACAAGATTTTTTCTGGTAATTGTCATCACATTTCTTGTTTTGCAGAATTGATACTCCTAAGTGAGTGTTTGACCCCTTAGAACCACCATAAATGTGATTAGCTGATGGTTTGTGAATTTGAAAGCAGAGTTCTACCTATTTGACTAAACTTTATTGCCACTCCTTGCAGTACAATTTTTATTTATCTAATTTCAAAGCATTATTCAAAATTTTTAAAAAACAACAGGAGAATGGTTGCAGTATATATCTTCCCCTAGAAAGATACAAATATGCACAACAACCATAATAGTAATGAGACTAACTAAAAATTGCTGTGTATATGGGTCAAGTACAGTGAAATCCTTTTTAGTGCTCAGTATTCTATTAGATAACGACTGTTAATACTCCTAATTTTAAACTGAGGAAACTGACTCTTGCAGAGGCCAAGTATTTTGTCTTTTTCATGAGATCACAAACTTGAAAGCAGCAGCAGCTAAACTAAGGGCTGCCTGAACATTTTATTGCTTTCAAGAAAATTAAAATAGCAAATTAAGAATTTAGTTGTATAATTCCTACAAAATAAGAGCTATAGAGTATCTGAGCATATAGTTGCTCAAGCAAAGTCTCAGAAGTGTAAACCTATAATTCCTTGGAAACCCTGTCTGTATAAGCACAGGAAAGAGTCAAGGTCTAGATTTAAATTTAAATGTATATTATATCTAAGAAAGTAAAGCGAGTGTATTTCACTCTTCCACAATCACTGATACTGTTTATATGCAAAGAAACCACAAAATACCATTTTTCAGAATTACTGGGAAAATCAATATGCCAGCTAGATAGCCTTATTAAAGTAGCTATATTCATAATGCTATATGATTGCCACATTTTATTCAGAGTATATAATACATAAAAAACATATTTGACTAAAATCAAAAGAAGCATAACTTAATGCTTCAGAGAAAATTACAAATTGATGTGTTCTTCATTAATAAACCCCATACACAAGTCCCAACTCCCTATGGCTGCCTTTTACTCACCTCCCAATCATTCCTTATTCATCCAAAACTCCTGGCTGTCATAGCTTATTCACCACCCAAGACCACTGGTCTCTTGACATTTTCATCTCTAGAGACTTAAACTACACCCTGGACAACATCACTCCTCATAAATGCACAACCTCTGAAACCATAAATTCATTCATCTGTCTCATTTTTACAACTCCCTCTCTCCCTTGCGTTCTCACTCATTTTCAGAGAGAACAGTTCCTGGATGTCACATATCGAAGAGACTTTGAAGCCTGTGATGTGTATGTAATATTCTCCCAATCAACCCCAATTCACCTTTCTCCTCTATATTTTCCTTTATTCAATTTCTTTCAACTTTTATCATTCCAACTTCTCAATTATATATTTGGTTCACTTACACACATCTGGACCCATAGAGCAACAGTAGAAACATTCTCTTTCATCTCTATGATGAATCGTTAGCCTTCAGACCAGTATATATATGTGGCTGCCTCTTTACTAGACATCTCTACAATCAAAAGATGCCTCCAATTCAAGCAAACGTTTTCCTCTAATAGGGTGTTACTCACACTCTGATCTCTTTCTCTCTAAATGTTGCCACCATCTGCCTCACTCTTGACATACCCATTTTATTTACATGGGACCCCTTTTCAATCACCAATCCCCATATATTTATCAGTTTCTCACCAGTTTCTCTTGCCTGGACCTCTTCACCAGACTAATAACTCTGCATTCCATCTTTCTGGTCCCAGCTTACTGCTCTACCACCAAAGTGATCTCTAAAAAATGCAAATCTCATTGTGAAATCCCCGTAGTTAAAACTCCTACCTCTTAAAATGAAGCCTGGATTTCTTAATGTTGATAAGGCCCTGTATGATCTAAAACTTACACGGGTCATATAAGTACATTTTTTCCCACTATCATCCATTTGGTAGTATAATCTAGTCATGTTAATCTTTAAGTTTCTTATGTCTGCATTGCAGCTCTCTCTCTCACACAAGCCTTAACACATGCTAGCCTTGAATAACCTTTCCTCCTCTCCCCTTACACCCCGCTTCCATCCTTTTAATCTGGCTTATTCTTAACTTATTCTTAACTTCAGGTGTCTTTTAGATATACCTTCCCCTAGGGAGCTGTCTCTGATAATTTAAGACTGGGTTGTGTATCTCTCCTGTGTACTTCCTTAGCCTGCAACATTTCTTCATCACAATACTTATGATAGTGTATTTTAATTATTTATTGAGTTGTTTATATTACCCACCAGATTGTAGGCTCTTTGACATCAAAGACCCTGGTTATCTTGTTCATCATTGCATCCTTAACATTTACAAGAGATTAGTGCATAATGTGAATGTTGAATGAATGAATAAATGAGTCTCATTATACTATAATGTTAATAAAGGTAAGATTAGAAAAAAAACCCAGCATAATCCTCTAAAATATAGTGAGAATTAAGTTTAGTAAAACCTACATTTTTGGTGGCCATTTTTTTTATTTTTCCCAGATATTGTGTTTAAAAGTATTCTACCCAAGTCTCAGATAACATATCATAATATATAATTTATAAACATTTTCAACACATTTATTTATGAAAATAAGATATCATTCTTAAGTGATTTGTTCAAGGGTTGGGGAAATCAGTTTTTATTATATTAAGTTACCTATTATTTACTCATGTATTGTTATGGTCTATTCAGGGATAACATGTAAGATATACTTAAAGTTATTCATTTTGATCTGATAACAGTGTATATATTATTTTTAATGTGAGTAAATACAAACAGTTGATCATAAGATTGACCAAGAACACTCTAGTCTTTGAGTTTTACAATTAAATTTTACACATACCTGTCTTACATATTTTATTTATCACTTACAGAAGTGCCTAATATCAGGGTAATATTTTTCTTTCTTTTTTTTTTTGAGACGGAGTCTCGCTCTGTTGCCCAGGCTGGAGTGCAGTGATGTGATCTCAGCTCACTGCAAGCTCCGCCTCCCAGGTTCATGCCATTCTCCTGCCTCAGCCTCCCGAGTAGCTGGGACTACAGGTGCCCACCACCATGCCCGGCTAATTTTTTGTATTTTTAGTAGAGATGGGGTTTCACCATGTTAGCCAAGATGGTCTCGATCTCCTGACCTTGTGATCTGCCTGCCTCAGCCTCCCAAAGTGCTGGGATTACAGGCGTGAGCCACCACACCTGGCCCAGGGTAATATTTTTCATTTACATAATTCCGAGAACATAAAGCAGTAAAACATTTTATGTGTGCTCTAAAATATAGATGTTAAAATCATATAGAAATTACATATAATTCATATTATTAAGACTCTTTAGAATTAGCATTGCAAAATTGATTATTTTTTTCCTAATCTACCTAACTAATGCTTTGAAAAAAGCAACCCTCTTCTCTGTGGCTATCTAGGTTCGTCAAAACTCAGAAATGACAACTATCATTTCAATTTCATAAGAAAGTGCCTCATATTGATGGAAGGTATCCATTTCAACTTAGTAGAAATTTCCATTACCAACTTCATCAAAAATATTTTCTGCAAATCCTCTCCAAGTTCTGCTATCCAATTTTTCATTAGATGATAAAGCTAAGTGCTTTTTTAAATCTCCAAAAACTCTACTTCTTTAAAGCTAACTTAATTTCTAGAAAAATAATATACTTTTTGAAAATTGCTCTTTAATGTCATAACTTTAAATCCCATTCCCAATAGAAGAAAGAATTAAAACAAGTTTTCTAATAATAAACATGTGTACTCCATTTTGTAGCATTATACCTACCATTATAGATAAGTTAAACAACCAACAAACCCACATAGACATATGTAAGGTGCAAAAACTCATATGTATGGACATACCTTTGCTCTTGTATCAAACTTTTCTGCCACAGTGGGTTTACAGGAGATATTGAGAACAGTTATTCCCCCAAATGGAACTATTCCTTGCGATGGAATAATATTAATGATAGGCAAAAGACTCTGACTACAAACCTGTAATTGAAAATTTGCAGAAATGATACATTATTCTTTAAAATTATAGTTTCAAAGCTTTCATAGGAAAGCCTCCATGCCACTACCTAGAGAGAAGATCTCCAGGCACAGGACATAAAATGATTTTGTAATAGTGTTTGAAAATACCAAAGGTACAAATAGTTTGGACTAAAACAAGAAACTGCAACCCTATCCAAGAAAACAGAACCTTTGGTAGTGACAACTTCCAATTCAAATAGGATGCTGAAGTTTATTATCTGGAGTGCTTTCAAGACAGCAAAATTTATAAAGATGATATTTCTGTTCGAGAAGATGACAACATTCTAGATACTACTTTTGAGAGTCTGTCTTTCCCTGATCCTAAAAACTCAAAATAATGTTAGTGAGGAGGTAGGATGATGAAGTAATCTCTTGTTTATTTCCTTGACAGAAAGCCTAATGTCTAAGATATCATTTTGATCTTCAGAAAACTTCTAAGTAACTTATCAATTATTTATTCTATGGATTTTCATAGGCCAATTTAAACCTATTTACCATGCTTTAAGCTAGAATAATTTAAAGGAAAAATGGCCAAGAGGTTTTTGGGACTAAAGGAACAAATAGACTATGTAGGTAAGAATTAATTCTAAAGAAGCAGAGTAGAAAAGATCATCCTCATTTTTCAGTTTTGCTAAAGACTTAATTTGGGCAGAAAAAAACACATTAATGTAAAGCTTGAATGGAAAATCTCAAATGCTAAACTCTATTACTATTACTGGGAGGGGAAGCCGGTCTTACTACATTTTTCAATTTAAAAAAAAAAATCACCACTTTGCTCCTCTTTCCATTTAAATCAGGAGCAACAACCATAAACATACTCTCTCCAGAATGGCCTTGATCTAGTTCCCAGGTGCTACCATCATGGCCCTGATTACAGACTGAAATGAAAAGGAAAATCATATAACTAAATATGGAGTGTAACATTAATTAATAATGTATATTTTAAAACATAAACATCTATTTTTTCAATAAAACCAAATAACAGAAAGAATAAAAGGGAAAAGAGAAGAAACAGGGAGGCTAAGGAAGGTAGTGAGAAAAATTGTTCTTACAAGAAATTAAGAGGACAAACTAGATGAACTATACTCAGGTAAATTTAATGTGAAGTATCTAAAAATTAGCAAAAGTGAAGAATAAAGTATTAACTTCACAGCATTATGACCATGTCATCTGATCCAAATAAGAAATTACCAACATCCTATGTTACCTTGAAATAAGCATGGTTTTGTCCTACATTTTGAAGAATGGCTTTCCTCCAAGTTGTTAAACCTTGAGGGCAATTACTAAAGAGTATCCTTGGCTGCAAAAGTAAAACCTTGGTGCGACCAAGCTAATAACGAGAGGAGGAAAGAAAAAACACAATTGAATTAATGGTAAATAAAATACTTTGTTTAATTGTTTTGGTCACAAAAATATTCTAATTTTGAATATATATTAACCAAAGATATAAATACTAAAAGAAAATAAAAATTATAATACTCCTATATTCTTTATTCAGTATGTTCTAACATGCAAAATAAATCACAAATCAGGACTTTATATGCTAGTTTTGATGAAAAAGTACCCAAGGTATAATAATTTTATTTTCCAAAATTTAAACTAAATCTGTGATAATCTAGTTAAGATGGGGTAATAACATCACAGGAGATATTTTATTTAGATATTTTGGCTGTAATAGTAACTAAATATTTAGATATTTAGAATTTAGATATTTAGATATTTTTAGGTAAAATATCTAGATACTGGTGGTAATCATAAATAATGGGGATAATAGTAATAATAATATTATTGTGTACCCAGTATTAACCAGATATATGATTAATTTTTACTTACATTTCCACTATGGTCTACTAGTCCAGAAAGTGCTCAGAGGGAAGCTAGACTATGCTTATGTTATCCATCTTTAAATACACAGAGCCTATATGGGGCCTAGTACAGTGTAGGGGCTCAATAAATAAATGTTAAATGAATGAATGGATGGTACTATCACATTTTACAGTGGAAGAAACCAAAATTTCGGGTGATTAAGTATTTTGTCTAAGTCATACAATGATTACATAACATTCGCCAGCTCCACAAAACATGTATAAATATATTTCAACAAACATATGCAGTTTTTAATGTGTCAATCTTGTGTGGTCTCTTTACAGTTGAAAAAACTCCTAACTATGAACAAGGAAGTAAAGTCAATTCTCCTCATGGGGAAAGAAGAGAAGGTAATGAAGCTATAAAAAATATATTTTTCACTTTAAGACATGACACAATTTTTTTCAGCTTCATAGTGACTTTTAAAATAAAAAGTGTTACCAGATTTTGTGGAGTGCTTAAGAGAAAGGAAAATGAATGGAATATTTAAAATATACTCCCAAACTAGGTAAGGCAAAAGGAATAAGATAATTCTATTAAGAAAGTAGACCCATGACTAAGAATTGTGTAGATTAATCACTGAAAGGGATCTTAGACAGTATCTAAACAACTATGTACAAGGTGTTACCATGTGCAGTGCAAAAGGAAAGAGTTGAAGGCTCACCTAAGTATGGAAAAGAAGGTGTCAAATGAAATTATTCAGGCATGTTTCTACTAGAAGTCTACTCATGGGGCTTAACATACTGATAATGAGCACTTTGCTTATCGAAAAATGGGGATTCACAGAATTACTTAAGGTCAGGACTCCCCCTCCTCATCTCACACAAAGCACCTCACAGAACTAGTGCAACATAGACTGATTTTTGGAAATGTTGGTATCATCCACCTCTTCGATTTTTCAGGAAAGCAAGCAGTAGCCAAAGGGGAACTAGAATCCAAGTTTTCCAACTTCTCATTATGTGTTCTTTATATCAGACCCTATTGTCTTCACATATGAAATATTATTTGTTATTGTCATAGGTTTTAATATACTCTATAATTACATTTATTTGAAGAATATTATCCAGGTAATTGGAATAATAAATTTTCAAACAAAACTAACAGAAGAGTAAACAGACCAATCAGGCCTTCGTATATGAATGACAAACAAATGAATATTTTATTTAATCACTTCATGTTTCTCCACATATACATATACATATGCATGTTATACTTCAATAGAAAGTTTTTAAAAAATAAAACTAATTTACACATAATGAAAAGTAGTAGGACCCAGCTTATTTTAGGCTTAGAAGAAAAACCATACTGAGTTCTGTCACTTGCCATCACTAAAAGTAGATGAATTTCTCATCTCTTGAGGCTAAAAACTCCTCCACAGCTGAAATATGTAAGAGTATCATCATGTCCTAGAAATATAGATGGGGTTTAGTAAAAGAGCATTTGGCTTCTTTAATATTTCTAAGAACATTGAGTGGGAAATTTGGTACACATGTAAAATCATGCTTGGTGATTGAGTCATGAATTTAAGGCCCTCTGGACTGTACCAGAAAAAGGTTAAAATTGCATATTACAGCTTTCCCTCTACTCACATTTTTAATCCATCAAGTATATTCTCTGAAAATACTTTTTGTGTCTCTTAATAAAATAATTTCATTTCAATGGCTCCCATGATGATATTACATATTTATAGAGGCTCTAACAAAAAAACTAGTACTGTTGCATGAAAGTCTTGGGTTTTACAGTTAATTCTAGATATAGGTAACTATATACACCAGTGTATACCCAACAAATTCATAGCCCTCAAAACAAAAACCATGTTCAAGGAAAATAATTACATGTGCAACACATTTTAGCTTCAACGCGTTTCCTTGAAAGACATGAAGAATAAATTCTCCTTCTTCTGGAGAACTGAAGCCCTGCTGCCAAGTTACTTCACATTCCAGTGAGGAATATGCTTCAACAGTGCCTACGGAAAATGTAGAGAGAAAATAAGACATTTTCCACATTTTAATTGTATTTCTTTTTGTTAATATCCAAAATAAGAGTTAAGGTAAAAATGTGATTGCATTAAATAAACTATTAAAATTAAACTCCAAAAACAGAAAAATGCTAAGTGAGATATTATCAAATGAGTATTGACCTATAGGGTTTGATTAAAATAGAAAATGCCTGCCTTATTTTTCAATTTTAATAGGCAAATAAAATATATGAAAAAATATGCCAATATTTGGAAAACAATAGAATATTTAACAATGAAGCAAACACTCTATGATTAGAGATAAATTTACATATAGACAGTAGAAAATCATTTGTGGTTCCTAACCAAATTGCCCACACCACATGTTTTCTGACATTCTGGAATACTACTTGTCAGCATCATTCATTCAGCTTTCAGAAGGAAGAATTATCATTACCACAGAAGTTTTTTGAAATACATACATCCCTAGAGATGTAGCTTCTGATTTAGCTATCGGTAATTAACACATTGCTATAATTCAAATACATTGAGAACTCATGTGGTATCAGGTACATTTGGAGTGAGCTGTTTTATCTGTTTAGATTCATCATTTCCTTTGGAGAAAGGAAAATATTACTTAATGGAAACAATAACTTAGATGTTCTTCCTTCGGAAAGGCAGAAGCCCCTGAGATTCAAAGGCACAGGATACGGAATGAAAGAAATCAATTACCATCACAAGAAAACTTTGCCTTGGAACAGGTTGACTGTCATGGAATGGAAGTTTTCTAAATCTTAAAAACTATATACTGCCTACCTCCCTCTTAGTTTTGCAGTGGCCATATAGGGAGATAACAACATATGTATGGGGAGTAACATAGTGTATGATGCCTGGAAAGCACCTAATATCAGATATTTTTAATACTCTTGAATGCCAACACTCTGTTAGGCACATTAATTTATAAAAAGAAGAGAACTGGTTATGGAAGTGCCATCAGCTTAATCAGGGTCCATCAAGATTACATTTGAATGTAAATAACAAAAAGTCCTGCTTCAGTGGATTAGGTAGGTAAGAGTTTATCTTATGCAATTAAAATCCCAAGGATAGGTATTCCAGATCTGTCTTAATAGGTTGACAATGCCTTCAAAGACCAGTGAGCTCCTGCTAGCTTCCCATATTAACATTCCTTACCATGTGGCCTTTCTCAATGTAAAAAGGTATCATATATCATGGTGGTTAAAAGAGCACAAATTTGAATTCCCAGGCAAGATGGCCGAATAGGAACAGCTCTGGTCTGTAGCTCCCAGCGAGATCAATGGAGAAGGTGGGTGATTTCTGCATTCCCAACTGAGGTACCCAGTTCATCTCATTGGGACTGGTTAGACAGTGGGTGCAGCCCACAGAAGGCAAGCCGAAGCAGGGTGGGGTGTCACCTCACCTGGGAAGCACAAGTGGTCGGGAAACTCCCTCCCCTAGCCAAGGGAAGCCGTGATGGACCTTGCCGTGAGGGATGGTGCGTTCCAGCCCAGACACTACACTTTCCCCATGGTATTCGCAACCCACAGACCAGGAGATTCCCTCAGGTGCCTATGCCACCAGAGCCCTAGGTTTCAAGCACAAAACTGGGTGGCCATTTGGGCAGACACCAAGCTAGCTGCAGGAGTTTTTTTTCATACCCCAGTGGCACCTGGAATGCCAGTGAGACAGAACGGTTTACTCCCCTGGAAAGGGGCTGACGCCAGGGAGCCAAGTGGTCTCACTCAGCAGATTCCACCCCCACAGAGCCCAGCAAGCTAAGATCCATTGGCTTGAAATTCTCACTGCCAGCACAGCAGTATGAAGTTGACCTGGGACACTGGCTCTTAGTGGGGGAGGGGCGTCTGCCATTACTGAGGCTTGAGGAGGCTGTTTTCCCCTCACAGTGTAAAATAAGCCTCCAGAAAGTTTAGACTGGGCAGAGCTCACAGCAGCACTGCAAAGCTGCTGTAGCTGGACTGCCTCTCTAGATTCTTCCTCTCTGGGCCGAGCATCTCTGAAGGAAATGCAGCAGCAGCCCCAGTCAGGGGCTTATAGATAAAATTCCCATCTCCCTGGGACAGAGCACCTGGGGAAAGAGGCAGCTGTGGGCACAGCTTCAGCAGACTTAAACTTTCCTGCCTGCCGCCTCTGAAGAGAGCAGCAGATCTCCCAGCACAGTGCTCGAGCTCTGCTAAGGGACAGACTGCCTCCTCAAGTGGGTCTCTGACCCTCGTGCCTGCTGACTGGAAGACACCTCCCAGCAGGGGTCAACAGACACCTCATGCGGGAGGGCTTAGGCTGGCTTCTGGCGGGTGCCCCTCTGGGACAAAGCTGCCAGAGGAAGGAGCAGGCAGCAATTTTGCTGTTCTGCAGCCTCCGCTGGTGATACCCAGGCAAACAGGGTCTGGAGTGGACCCCCAGCAAACTCCAGCAGACCTGCAGAAGAGGGGCCTGTTAGAAGGAAAACTAACAAACAGAAAGCAATAGCACCAACATCAACAAAAAGGACGTCCACACAAAAACTCCATCCAAAGGTCACCAATGGCAAAAACCAAAGGTACATAAATCCACGAAGATGAGAAAAAATCAGTGCAAAAAGGCTGAAAATTTCAAAAACCAGAATGCCTCTTCTCCTCCAAAGTATCACAACTCCTCGCCAGCAAGGGAACAAAACTGGATGGAGAATGAGTTTGACCAATTGACAGAAGTAGGCTTCAGAAGGTGGATAATAACAAACTCCTCTGAGCTAAAGGAGCATGGTCTAACCCAATGCAAGGAAGCTAAGAACCTTGATAAAAGGTTAGAGGAACTGTTAACTAGAATAACCAGTTTAGAGAAGAACATAAATGACCTGATGGAGCTGAAAAACACAGCACGAGAACTTTGTGAAGCATACACAAGTACCAACAGCACAATCCATCAAGCAGAAGAAAGGATATCAGAGTTTGAAGATCAACTTAATAAAATAAAGTACGAACACAAGATTAGAGAAAAAAGAATGAAAAGGAACGAACAAAGCCTCCAAGAAATATGGGACTATGTGAAAAGACCAAACCTACATTTGATTGGTGTACCTGAAAGCGACGGGGAGAATGGAACGAAGTTGGAAAACACACTTCAGGATGTTATCCAAGAGAACTTCCCCAACCTAGCAAGACAGGCCAACATTCAAATTCAGGAAATACAGAGAACACCACAAAGATACTCCTCAAGAAGAGCAACCCCAAAAGAGCACAAATTCTAAGGTCTTCCTAGTTCAAATTTCAGAACCGGCACTTACTACCTGAGACCATGGGCAATTTCCTTAATTGCTCTGTAGCTCAGTTTAATTACATGTAAAATGGAGATAACAATTGTATTTAACTGAGAGAATCACATTGTGGGGATTAAATAAGCTAATGATGGCAGGGAGAGCCGCTTAGGAGGAAGGGGCAGGACTCCAGGCTGTGTAGAGCCCCGAGGGTTTGGCATGGGGACTGCCACAGTTGAGCACAACTTGGGATCCCCACACTCCAAGGCTTACAGTGATCCTCTAGAATAATTTAGCCTTTGGGTAACTATTAGACTTGGGCAGAGCAGGGCTGTCTTGCTCATAGGACAGGACTAGTCTGATCTGAGCAACTTCCTGTCTACTGTCATTTCCAGTAGCCCTAGTCTGGCCATGCCTGCTTGCACCACAGCCTTGGATGCCCAACCAGGGTGCTTCCTGGGGGCCCTTATCATAGCTCCTTCACTGTCAGACTGTGCCTGACCATCAAGGAACTATAGCAGACCAGCTTCCACTGAAATGTACCAGCCCACCTGCACTCTCCCCCCATCACAGCCTTCCCCTGCCACTTTGCTGGCATGTACTCACCCACAACTTGTTCCACTGCTTTGCCAGGACATGTGTGCAGGCAGATCTCCCCTCTCCTCCCCTGCTGGCATTAGTGTCCATGTGCACCCCACTACACCACCACTGCTAGTACAAGTGCATCCCACCACCCTGGCCCCGATGAGGTGCTTTTGACAGCACCCCCAATAGGAATGTTGTGGCCAGCAGACCAGGAACACTTCAGTCCCTCCAGCACGGATGTTCCTAATCTTGAGGGGCCAGAGAACAAACCTGGGGCCCACTACCAGCTCCCAGAGTTACAGCACACAGCCCAGGAGTGCTGAGATAAGCCTTTGTATATGTACCCAAAACAGGAGCACCCAGATTTATAAAACAGGTTCTTTGAGACCTACAAAGAGACTTAGATAAACACACTAATAATGGGAGACATCAACATCCCACTGACATTATCAGACAGACCACTGAGGCAGAAAACTAACAAAGATATTCGGGTCCTAAACTCAAAAACCTAACCAAATGGACCTAACAGACATATACAGAACTCTCCACTCCCAAACATCAGAGTATACATTCCTCTCATCTGCACATGGCATATACTCTAAAACTGACCATACAATTGGCCATAGAAAAATTATCAGTAAATTAAAACAAAATCAAACAAAACACCATCAGACCACAGCACAATAAAAATAGAAATCAATACTAAGAAGGTTGCTCAAAACCATATAATTAAATGGAAATTAACCTGCTCCTGAATGACTTTTGGGTAAAAAATGAAATTAAGGAGAAATCAAAAATTTCTTTATAACTAATGAGAAAAAAATACAACATAGCAGACTCTCTAGGACACAGCTAATACAGTATTAAGCAGAAATTTTATAGTGCTAAACACCCACATTGAAAACTTAGAAAGGTCTCAAATTAACAACCAAACATCATAACTAGAGGAACTAGAAAAACAGCAAACCAACCCCAAAGCTAACAGAAGACCAGAAATAACCAAAATCACAGCTGAAGTGAATGAAATTGAGACATGGAAAACCATACAAAATATAAACAAATCCATGAACTGGTTATTTGAAGGAATAAATAAGATTGATGGACCATTAGCTAGAGTAAGAAAGAAAAAAAGAGAAGATCCAAATGGATGCAATCCAAAATGATAAAGGGGACATTAACACATACCCCACAGAAATACAAAAAAAAACTTATATTACAAACACTTCTGTACACAAAAATAGAAGGCCTACAAGAAATAGATAAATTCCTGGAAACATACAACATCCCATTATTGAACCAGAAAGAAAGTGAAACCCTGAACAGACCAGTATTGAGTTCTGAAATTTAATCAGTAGTAGAAACCCTACCAACCAGAAAAAGCCCAGAACCAAAAAGATTTACAGCCAAATTCTACCAGATGTATAAAAGAGAGCTGGCACCATTCTTACTGAAACTATTCCAAAAAATTGAGGGGGAGTGACTCCTCCCTAACTCATTCAACAAGGTCAGGATCATTCTAATACCAAAACCTGGCAGACATACAACAAAAAAGAAAACTTCAGGCCAATATCCTTGATGGACATAAATGCAAAGATTCTTAGCAAATTACTAGCAAGCCATATCCAACAGCACATCAGAAAGCTAATCCATCATGTTCAAGTAGGCTTTATCCCAAGAGACACAGGTTGGTTCAACATACACAAATCAATAAATGTGATCCATCACATAAATATAACTAACAATATAAAACATAATAATCTCAATAGATGCAGAAAAGGCTTTCAATATAATTCCACATCCCTTCATGTTTAAAAGCCCTCAATAAACTAGGCATTGAAGAAACACATCTCAAAATAATAAGATCAAAATAATAAGAGCCATCTATGATAAACCCACAGCCAACATCATGCTGAACAGGAAAGAGCTGGAAGTATTTATCTTTAAAATTGGATCAAAACAAGAATTTCTATTCCCACAACTTCTATTCAGTGTAGTGCTAGAAGTCCTAGCCAGAGCAATCAAGCAAGAGAAATAAATAAAAGACATCCAAAGAGGAAGAGATAAAGTCAAACTATCTCTGTTTTTAGATGATATGATTCTATACCTAGAAAGCCCCATAGTCTCTGCCCAAATACACCTAGATTGGATAAACAACTTCAGCAAAGCTTCAGGATCCACAATCAATGTATAAAAATCAGTAGCTTTTCTATACAACAACAATGTCTAAGCTGAGAGCCAAATCAGGAACGTGATCCCAATCACAATAGCCTCAAAAGGAATAAAACACCTGGAAATACAGTTAACCAGGGAGGTGAAAGATCTCCACAATGAGAATTACAAAACGTTAGTGAAGGAAATCAATGATGACACAAACAAATAGAAAAATATTCTGTGCTCATGAATTGAAAGAATCAATACTGTTAAAATGACCAAAGCAATGTACAGATTCAATGCCATTCCTATCACACTACCACTGACATTCTTCACAAAATTAGAATACTATTTTAAAATTCATATGGAACCATAAAAAGAGCCCAAATAGCCAAGACAATCCTAACCAAAAAGAACAAACTTGGAGGCATCACATTATCCAACTTCAAACTATACTACAAGAATACAGTAATGAAGACAGCTTGGTACTGGTAGAAAAACAGATACATAGACCAATGGAACAGACTAGAGAGTCCAGAAATAAAGCCACACATCTACAATGATCTGATCTTTGACAAAATTGACAAAGACAAGCAATAGGGAAAGGACTCCCTATTCAACAAATAGTGCTAGGATAATTGGCTAGCCATATGCAGAAAATTGAAGTTAGACCCTTTCCTTACACAACATACAAAAATCAACTCAAGATGCCTTACAGATTAAAATGTAAAGCCTAAAACTAAAAATCCTGGAAAATAACCTAAGAAATAGCATTATGGAGATAAGCCCTGGCAAAGATTTCATGATGAAGACACCAAAAGCAATTGCAACAAAAATGAAAATTGACAAATGAGACCTAATTAAACTAAAGAGCTTCTATACAGCAAAATTAACTATCAACAGAGTAAAAATACAACCTACAGAATGGGAAAATATATTTTCAAACTACGTATCTGACAAAAGTCTAATATTAAAAAATGGGCAAAGGATATGAACAGACATTTCTCAAAATAAGACATTCATGCAGCCAACAAGCATATAAAAATTCTCAACATCACTAATCATTAGAGAAATGTAAATCAAAACCACGATGAGATACCATCTCACACCAGTCAGAATGGCTACTACTAAAAAGTCAAATAATAACCAATGCTGTTGAGGTTACAAAGAAAACAGAACACTTATGCACTGCTGGTTGGAGTTTAAATTAGTTCAGCCACTGTGGAAACCAGTTTGGTATTTCTCCAATAATTTAAAAAAGAAATACCATTTGACCCAGCAATCCCATTATTGGGTATATAGCCAAAGGAATATACATCATTCTACCATAATGACACACGCATGTGTCTGTCACTATTAACCATAGCAAACACATGAAATCAACCTAAACACCCATCAACACTAGACTGGATAAAGAAAATGTGGTACATATATACCATGGAATACTACACAGCCATAAAAAAGAATGTGATCATGGCCTTTGCGGCAACCTTGATTGTAGCTGGAAGCCATTATCCTAAGCAAACTGATGCAGAAACAGAAAATCAATACTACATGTTCTCATTTATAACTAGGAGCTAAACATAGAATACACATGGACACAAAGAAGGGGACAACAGACTTTGCGTACTACTTGAGGATGGAGGTTGGGAGGAGGGTGAGGATTGAAAACTACTTGTTGGGTACTACACTTATTAACTGAGTGTCAATCTGTACATCAAATCCATGTGACAGGCAGATTTTCCTATGTAACAAACCTGCACATGTACCCCTGAACCTAAAATAAAAGTTTTTAAAAATGTATATTTTGTCTAATTGTTATATCATCACTCCAGCTTTCTTATGTTTCCTGTTTGCAAGTTTTTTATCCTCTTACTTTTATCCTGTTTCTCTGGATTTAAGCTACTTTTGTAGATTGTTTGTGGTAGATATTTCAGTTTTTGCTGTTGTTTTAATATCTAGTAGGCAGTCCTTGCCTTTTTATTTGATACTTGTTTAATATTTTCATATTTAGTGCTAGAATTGACATATTTGAATTTATATCTGCTCTTTTATATTTTGTTTTATGTTTGGCTCATGTATTTTTATTCTTTATTCCACCTTTACTATGTTCTTTGGTACTAAGTAAGTATTTTCCACTGACATTTTAATTTGTGTAATTATTTCCTCCTTTACGCTGTTTATAGAACTGTTACTCTTACATAACTTTACTCCCCTTTTCCTCCTTTGTGTGGTACTAATGTTATATTTATTGTATATTTATGTTACAATCTCAACAATATCTTTTTATAGCTATTTCTTTATGTAATTTTGTTTTAAATAAGCTGGAAAGACAAAGAGAGCAATTTTATATATATAAATATATGTAAAATCACAAACATATATATACACGCATATATGTTTGTGATATTAAACGTCTTATTGTCCAAATAAATAAGTATGATAATACACGTAAAAAATACTTGGGGAAACAGTTTCAAGTACATAGGAGGAGGGTGAAGCTAAAGAAAATTTATGTCCATAGCAAAAGAGGTTTGCG
Source organism: Homo sapiens (assembly GCF_000001405.40). Lineage (NCBI taxonomy): Eukaryota > Metazoa > Chordata > Mammalia > Primates > Hominidae > Homo > Homo sapiens. The sequence continues at coordinate 35,980,784 of NC_000023.11, read as the reverse complement.
GAAGAGTTTTTTCAGATGAGAACATTGTTGCCCTAAACAAAATGAGGGTCCTGTTGGGAAGAGGAACCAACATCAGATATGGATTTAGCAATGCCTGCCAAAATAAGAGACATATAAAAACAAATAATTGTTGATGACATAACAAATGCATAATAGGAGCAGAAATAAAGGGTAAAAAAAAATAAATTAGCCAAAAAGCTAGAGGAAACTTCATTATATGGAGGTGGCATGTGAATTGTGACATGAAAGATGATCAGGAATTCTGCAGAAAGACAAATCCTGGGGAATATGTAAAAGTCAGGTTACGGAACAGCTTTTTCCTGTTCTTTGGGGTTTGGGGAAGATTGTGATGGGAAGTAATTTCTGCAAAGAAGATTCAGTCCTATAAATAAAGCCATCTTAGTGCCCTGAGAAGAGTTGAAAGCAGTGAAAGAATTATACATCCATATTGACAGGTCAGCTTGAGAAGAATTTTCTCCCTCCAATGAGCACAGTTATATATTTTTTCTTCAGGAATATTAAGTATATCAGGGGTATGGGAAAGAAACTGGATGGCTGTAAAGGAAAACAAAGTATTTCTCCCCAATATATTAAGATTGTTAAATTAAAAACACAGGAGAACACTGGGCCTCAGCCTCTGTTTGCCTGATGTTGGGATGTAAATCCTTCCTTACTGGAGACATCACTTGCTTATTGCCCCAGAGAAGACATCAGCAGGCACCAGAGAAATCTGGGAGCAGATTTTAGGTGTACATTTAAGATATTCTAGATAAACCTTCTTCAGTTTGTTTGAACAGGTATCAAACAGTGGTTGTTGTATTATCGGCATTCCAGCTATAGGTTCTGACCAACCATCTGATACTGTGCTAAGGTTTAAAAAGCTCAATACCCTATACTTTTCCTTGTATTAATATTTCTCTATTCTAACTAGGGAGGAATGGGCTGGGCTTGCCTTACGGCTGCCATGGTAAAATCTACCTTCTTATATTTTTCTGCCTTTTAAAAGACTGGAACTGCATTCTCCTTTGTCTTACTATGCTAAGATTTATTGCTCTTTGTTAAAATACTATTTAAATAAGACCTCTAAGCCACTGCCTTGTGAGATACTTTTGAACTGAGGCCTCTCCTATGTGATCAGTACAGCATGCATCAATAAATTTCTGCTGGTTTTTCTTTTGTTATTCTGACTTTTGTTTCGAGAGAGTATCTCAGTTAAAAATTTATGAGGATTGAAAAAATAAATTAGATTTTCTCCCCTTCAGCTGGATTGAGCAAGGCTGGGACTGGTAGAGCTGGTACTGCATACAACCAAGCAGTGAGAGAAGTGAGAAAGAGAGTGGGAGTGAATTGATCAAAAACAAGTTCATGGATTGTGTGATTCAAGGTTTTAGTAAGGATAAAGATAACAGACAAAAACAAAACAAAACAAGCAGAAGCATGAAAAATACCCACAGAAAAAGTCAAATTAGAATTGAATTCTGTCTTAGAAAATATCAGTCCACTCTTGGCCAGGCACGGAGCCTCATGCCTGTAATCCCAGCACTTTGAGAGGCCGAGGCAGGCGGATCACCTGAGGTCAGGAGTCCGAGACCAGCCTGACCAACATGGAGAAACCCCATCGCTACTAAAAAATACAAAATTAGCCGGGCGTAGTGGCACATGCCTATAATCCCAGCTACTCGGGAGGATTGAGGCAGGAGAATCGCTTGAACCCGGGAGGTGGAGGTTGCAGTGAGCTGAGATGACGCCATTGCACTCCAGCCTGGGCAACAACAGTGAAACTTTGTCTCAAAAATAATAAAAAAGAAAATATCAATCCACTCTTATATTCTCCCCTTACAATATCCACTATCAAACACAAACACAAAACCTATCATGCCTCAGGGAAGAAGGACAAAGACAATATAAATTTTAATTTGGAATTATTCATTTCAGTTTATAAAAATATAGAGAGAGGCATATGATTAAATGTATTGTCCAGGATGCAAAACTGATACAGCACAAGAAAAATAGCTTGGTAAAAAGTCACTTTCTGTTTATAAAATGGTAAAAACAATATGAAATTGAGTAATCATTATATAAATATTCTGAGGAAAGGAACATAAGCAAAACTGTATATGCTACAAATTACAAACACTTTTTTCAATGCTATATGAGATAGATTTGAGGATTATATTTTTGTATTCTTAAAAAGAACTTAAGTACTAATGGCATTACCTACACAAAAATTTTACTTGAAATTAAATATCTTTGTGTGTTTGTACCTTGGTAATTGTTTGTTTAAAAATTATAAGAGGTGTCATGAGCAACCAAAGAAAATAAAATTAAATGTAAAAACCTCTCCTGTAAAAATAAGAGTTCTAAAGACCACAAGAAGCATAACTGGTACTCCAGCTTATAATATCATAATTCCACTTCTCTTTTACAAAAATTAAGTATCATCATTGCATTTCCATAGCAGCCATAAGGCAAGCCCAGCCCATTCCTCCCTAGTTAGAATATAGAAATATTAATACAAGGAGAAGTATAGGCTAGTGAGCTTTTTAACACTCTTAGCACAATATCAGATGGTTGGTCAGCACCTGTAGCTGGAATGCTGATAATACAACAACCACTGTTTGATACCTGTTCAAACAAACTGAAGAAGGTTTATCTAAAATATCTTAAATGTACAGAAATATGTTCTTTCTTCTCTAATTACTCTCTCAGCATTTCAATAGATTGAGGCAGGATCCAGTATTTTCAGTATTAAAATTTATAAAGAGCTCGGTCAAGTGAATCTGTGAAATGTTGATGAAAGTATATTTCAGATACTTAACAAATTATGATGTAGAATGGTGTTAAATCAATCCACATTAATAAGAAGATTAAATAGCTGTGTCAGTGATCTCCAAACCTAATGAAAGGACTGTCCTACTCTTCCACTTGTTAAATTTGTCAAAATCTCTATCTACACATCCACACTAAAATTAAGTGAATTTAATTTAATACTTAAGATTGTTTTTATAACACTCCCTGTTACAAGCACTTTTAGAGCTATGTAAAATACTGATTTGGAAATGACTGATATTCACAAGAAAATATGTTTAAGGCAAGATTTCTACAAACCAGGACTCGTCTGAAATATGAAGTATAGTATATTTCTATTTAGACCCTAAATAATTACTGTTGCTAAATTAGACTTAAAGAGGGAGGGAGAGAGAAGGGGAAGGGAACTAGAAAGAGAACAAAGGAGGGAGGAAAGATGAAAGGAGGGAGGAAAGATGGAAGGAAACAGGGAGCAAGGGTTTTCTAATGAGGATGGATGGAAAGGTGCAGGATAGGTTATTACTCTGAGGATCGTTTCAGGAAAAAATTCCAAACAGATTTAGAAAATTTTCGTAATAAAATGGCTACCCATTTATTTGGCACCTACTCTTTGCCAGGCATTAGAGAAGTTTCTCACACAATTAATCTTTGAGATGTAGTCATCTCTCCATTTTACAGATGAGGAAACTTGTATTCACAGAGTACTTTGCTTAAGTTAAAATAGCTAGTGAGCAGCTACGATTATCCAAAGTCTGTTTTACTTTCCATTCATGCAAAATTGGACTTCGGCTGTTATAAAGCACCAAATGGGTCACTATTGATACAAAGATCCAGCCTTTTCATCTAGCTGGAAAGGCACAACATGTACATAAAACAAAGATACCGTATTGATCATTCAACTTCTTAATTGCTATCTTATTTCCTAAATGATAGCTTGTGCCATCATGAGGTCCTCACAGCACATCACAAGGATGTTTGCCAAATTTGACAGGCTACTAAATAAGTCACAGTTTAGCAGTTACGATTGTTCATGTTACAGCAGGTATACTATGTGGAATTATAGACTCCAGGGAATGGCAGAAACAAGGTTAAGAGGATGCTTCACAAATACAGGGCACGTCAAAAATGGTATATCTGAGATTGTCTTCTATTAATTAAAAATCATCTTATTTAAAGTTCTTAATTTTATTAATTGGATTTTATGAGTTGTATTAAATATTGGCTATAAGTAATTTCTAGATCTTTCTAAAAGAATTCATACTAGAAAAATATGTCATTCTGAATCACAGATTATCATCATTATCTAACTAAAACTAAACAAAATTTATTTTGTCCATAAGTATCTGTGATGATCAATTTTATCTGTCAACTGCTCCAGGCTGTAGGGCTCAGTTATTTGGTTAAACTCCAGTCCAGATGTTGTTGTGAAAGTGTTTTTTTAGACGTAATTAACACTTAAATCAGTAGGCTTTTTGAAACAGTTAATTGACAAAGACTGTATACATTCAAGGTGTACAACATAATGATTTGATATGCATATATAGTATAATAATTATCACAATCAGTTAATTAACATGCAGATTACCTTTCATAATGCGGGTGGGTCTCATCCAATTATTTGAAAGCCTTAACAGAAAAGACTGATGTCCCAGGAGGAATAATAAATTCTGCCTCCAGAATGCCTTTGGACTCAAGACTCCACCATCAACTCTTCCCTGTATCTCCAGTCTACCACCCTGCCCTGCAAATTTCAAACTTGCCAGGCCACACAACCACACAACCTGTGAGCCAGAACCAGTTCCTTAAAATGTCTCTCTCTTTATCTCTCTCTCTCTGTCTCTCTCTCTCCCTGTTGGTCTGTTTCTCTGGAGAACCCTAACAAGGGTTCCATATTTCCAAATCATATTATATCTGTAAAAATAAATACCCCTGATGACAGTATCTGATTTACTTCTATACTCTTGGCACCAGTACACAGTACACACTCAATAAATAATTAATACCAGAATACATGAATACATGAAAAAATAAATGTCTAAATCAAACAAACAATAAACTGTTACCTTTAGCTGGACAAATAGAAAATGCTATCCCTCTTCCTGTGTTTACGGGTTGCCATTGAAACTGAGCACAACAATTCTGACGATTATACAATCTAACTGTCCCCCGAAAACATGTTTTCATGAAGAAGCCTCGTGGTCTCAATACTAGCTCATTAGAAGATAGCTCAAGTGTTACTGGCTGGACAACTGCCACCACTAGGATGTGTCCACTGGGTACATTGTTCACTGTAAAGGTGAAAGACCTGTAATGCAGCAAAAGCATCCAAATTTAACTGATAATAGTTATTTGTGATTATAGAATTCAGCTACACGTAAAATGCACATAGCATTGATTAACATCCACAATTCTTAGCACGTAATACTTTAATTATGAAAGATAATTAGATTGCTACTAAACTATCAATCTATATATCTAAAAATTGATGCACATATAGCTTCTATGTTTGGAGAACAAATATAATATACAATACAATTATTCAGGAAAATAAATACATATTCTACAGAAGTACACTTTGATTCTAACAAGCAGAAATTCAAAAATAATCCCTACTTCCAAAATTTTCCAATGGTGGGAGAGTCAAATACCATTGAAATATAAGTACTGGATGTAGGTAGAATCACGTATGAAAATTGGTTGGTCTTCTGAAGTTCTTCTAAATCAGTATCTAACTGGAGCAAAACATGCATAGGTAGCATATTAATAACATGAAGTAGATGAGTATTTGGAGAGTTCACACAAATATTACCAAAGTTAAGGACAGAAGGCCCTGAAAAAAAATGAAAAGTATTTTGTTAAGTTTAAAGATGGCAAATGACTTCATTTACTTTTTAAGTTTTCAAAATATATTTTGATCAACCAATTTGTATAAAAATGAAATTTTAAAAAATATTTACAATAATAGCAGGAATTATTAAGTAAGCATTTTTTTTCTAGATGACCATGATTAAATGTTTGGACATTATTGGCTACAATTCAATATAAATATATTCTAATTATATGAAAAATTATATGACTAAATAAGAACCATTCACTACAACTTATCTTAGCACCTTAATTTGCAACACTTCAACACCTCCTCTATTCCCACTAGTACAAGTATTTTGTTCACTTATCTATAATTTACGGAAACTGGTAAATTTCCCATGACCCATTGCTTAAGTTTTCCCCTTAAAATGCCCAGGATTTTATATCAAAGCAATTTTAATAATTTTAAGTTTTGCCCTGCCTTTAACAGCTTAATTAGTTAAAACTGGCATATAGTAAGTAAACTGAACATATTTAAAGTATAGAATTTCATTAGTGTTCGTATATGTATACACCTGTGAAACAATCACCACAATAAAGACTGAACATTTATCACTCCAAAAATTTTGTGCCCCTTTACATTCCTTCTCTCCCACCATTCTCCATGTTTTATATGCTGAATTCCCCCCTAGAGAGAGAATCAGCCCAATCAATCATCCTTTGTCCACATCTCCCTCATGGCCACCTTAACTGTGGTTAGAATGAAATGAGAACTCCCACTTCAGACCATTATAGCCACTACTTCTTTAATCATAACTGTCCTTCAATCACTTGGTGAAAACAGACCTAGAAGGGTATATTGTATAGCACTTCTTCAAGGTTAAAAAGGAGTTTTCACTTGTTCTCCTAACTCACAGTCAGCCCAGATGCCTCATGTCTTTACCTCACACAGGTATCTGTCTCTGCTCAAATATACTTCTCAGAGATGCTAACCACCTGGTAAAAAAGACTCTCCATGAAAACATTCTATTATTCTCGATCTACTTAACCTGGTTTATGTTTCTTCATACCTTGTATACCAATTATGTATTATATAAGGAAAGGTTTATTATCTCCCTCCCACCCCAGCCAAATGTAATCTCTATGAGAGCAGGGGCTCAGTCTGTTTTCTTCATTGCTGTATCTCCAGAACCCAGAACTGTGTCTAGTATATGGTGGTCATTCAATTAACACTTATAAAATGACTGAATGGATAAAGGAATTACAATTAGACTTTAAGCATTTTCTAATGCAGCATACTCATCTTAGGGATGAAGTGTTTTCACTAAAACTTTCTAAACACTTATTATGTGTAAGGCACTTGGTTCACACAATTATACTATGGGGTAGGCAATATTATCACTTCCCATTTCACAGATGAAGAAACTGAGACCCATAGAGGTAAACCCTAATGTCACTGCACTAGTAGGTTGCAGAACCAAACCCAGTTTGGTCTCAGTACAGAGCCTTCCTACTCTATAGCACACATGGTGTTCTTGAAGCACACAAACACAATTCCAGAGAGAACTAAGCTAAGAATCCAAGTTGCAGGCATATCTACATTATGCTACAGATAAACACATACACAGAACATTTTCTATAATAAGAAAGCAAATATTTGAATAAAAAATTGGGCAAAGAGGCCGGGCACGGTGGCTTACACCTGTAATCCCAGCACTTTGGGAGGCCGAGGCGGGCGGATCACGAGGTCAGGAGATGGAGACCATCTTGGCTAACACAGTGAAACCCCGTCTCTACTAAAAATACAAAAAATTAGCCAGGTGTGGTGGCGGATGCCTGTAGTCCCAGCTACTCGGGAGGTTGAGGCAGAAGAATGGCATGAACCCGGGAGGCAGAGCTTGAAGTGAGCTGAGATCACACCACTGCACTCCAGCCTGGGCGACAGAGCGAGACTCCGTCGCAATAAATAAATAAATAAATAAATGGGTAAAGAATTTAAAAGGCATTTCTCCAAAGACTATATATGACATACATAGACATTTCTCTAAGTAAGTACATGAAAATATATTCAACATCTTATTCATTTAGGGAAATGAGTATCAAATCCACAATGAGATAACATTTCATACTCACTAGTAGGTCTATAATCAAAAAGACAGAAAGTAACAGTGCTGGTGAGAATGTTGAAGAACTTGTAACCCTTATACATTGCTGATAGGATTACAACTTTGTGCAATCACTTTGGAAAACATTTTAGAGGGTTTTTTTTTAAGTTAGATATAAATTTATTGTACAACCCAGCAATTCCACTCCTAGAAATCAGAGAATTTTATGTGAATGTTCATAGCAGCATTATTGATCATAGCCTCAAACTGAAAACAACTAAATGTCCATCAACTGGGGAATTGATAAACAAAGTGTGGTATACTCATAAAATGGGGTGCTGTTTCAATAGAAAAAGGACCAAAATATTGATACTACCTACCACGTGGGTGAACCTCAAAAACATTATGCTAAGTGTAAGAAACAATATATGAAAGGCTAGATATTGTATGATTCCATTTATTTTCAGAATAGGCAACTGTATAGAAAGTTGATTAATGGTTGTCTGAGGCAAGGGGTAGAAATAGTAACTGGGCGGGGTGCGGTGGCTCACACTCTGTAATCACAGCATTTGGGGAGACCAAGGCTGGTGGGTCACTTGAGGTCAGAAGTTCAAGACCAGCCTGGCCAACATGGTGAAACCCCATCTCAATTAAAAATACAAAAACTTAGCTGGATGTGGTGGTGCTGCACCTGTAATCCCAGCTACTTGAGAGACTGAGTCAGGAGAATCGCTTGAACCCGGGAGGTGGAAGTTGTAGTGAACCGAGATCATGCCACTGCACTCCAGCCTAAGCAACAGAGTGAGACTCTGTCTCAAAAAAGAAAGAAAGAAAGAAAGAAATAGAGAGTAACTGCATATGGGCATGAGAGTGATGGCAGCATTCTAAAATTAAATTGCGAAGGTGGTTATATAACTTTAAATTTACTAAAGTTAATTCTCTCAGTCATACTTAATAACTATGACTACTCTGAGGACTTCTTATATTTCCAAAGTTGATACTTGCATACTTTAAATTTTATGAAATATAAATTACACTTTAAGAAATCTTTTTTTTATAAAAAAATAAAGGCTGTAGTAGGTTTTTGTGTATTCTCACCAACAATTACTTGATGAATTTGCTTTGGTGTCAACATTAAGCTGCAATCATGTTTTTCTTGTGGAGTGGATGGTTCTGATTTAAGTCCTTTGAGAACCTGTAAAAAATCATATTTTTCCAGAATTATTCATTATTAGCAAAAGCTATTTTAAGAATTCTCGTGGAATAACCAAATGTAAAACATTGCACGTGCCTTTCTTCTCACAGACTCTTCCTCCTGAGATGCTATACCCCTGGTGGTTAACAATCGATTCGCTCTAATTGAATTTGCTGCTGAAGACAGCTCCTCTTCTATTTCCGCTTCTGAGAGTGAGGGTGACTTTAGACCTGATCCTGGCTCTAAGCCTATGTCTGTATCATCATATGAATACATGCGCTCCCTATAAAATTAATAATAATAATAATCAGTAATTGAGGTCAAGTCATTCAAAAAATGCATCTGTAAATTCAAGCCTTTCCCATAGTGCATATTGCTGCTGCCTCACTCATATCCACTTAACCAGACTGGTGCACTAATCCACATAAAATTGTCCTCTGCTGAGGAGACTCCCTTCTCAAACATCTCATCGAGGAAATTATGCTCATGCCTGCCACACCCAAGGACAGCCAATGACTGATATGGAACACAAAAGACAAGCCCCTTTGGCTCAAGCCAGCAACAACTTTGTGGTAAAATTTAGTCTCAAGAGACCCTGAGTGTCAACTTTATTTGAAACACATTTTTCCTCAGCTCTCACTCCTTCCCTATTCTGCTTCCCTCATTCTGTACAGGTTTCTCCCGAGAGCACACACTCCATAAATCATAGGCACTGGAATCCCTGTCTCAAGATCTGCTTCTGGGGAAACCCATCTAAGACAATTCCGAGTTAAAAGGTAACAAAAGAAATAATTGTAGTTAAAGCAGCTCAGTGTTTTGCTTTTATCACGTATTGAAATGTAGTTTACAACATCTAAAATAAAAAGAAACCAAGGAGTTAAAAAAAAATTCTGACTCTGTAGACACCATGATCTGTTGCATATTTTTTGAGGAACTGAACATTACCTCTCTGCTTGTTTCTTCTGCAAGCGCACACTTCTTAAATATTTAAGATACATTGCATAATAGTTTTCATGTAATTTCTTTTGCTGTTTTTCAAATGTAGTATATGCAAAATCATGATTCACATAGTTAAATCTTGGAACTTTTGTGAAAATTGGCCTGCAATATAAGCAAGTCATGTTAATATTTTTATATATGCATTTGTTCAATCAGTATTTACTGACAGCCTCCTAGCCAATTTCTATATCAGGTGTTGGATGTGGAATGGCAAATAGAACAGATTCTAGTCCTTCCCCTCATATGCTATTCTATATCAAGACATGATTGAATGTAGAACTAGAGTGAAGCCTATTTTTTCTTAATCTAATAAAAAAAATCCGTTGTAAGGTCACTGGGATGTAATGGTGCCTATTCTAAATCCATCTTTGAAGAATTAGTCAGTTAGGCAATTTGGACACTGCTAGATTACAGACAAGACTCCAAGAAACTAGATCTGTATCTGACTAGTGTTTCCTAAAAGTTAACTGTTTTTAGATCATCATGATCAAAGTCAGAAAAAAAAATGTACAATAATGAATCTTTTTGCTAAACATGCTACCTCCTTTAAACTTCACAACTTATGAAATAACCATCAACAATAAGCCTATATAGAGGAAACAATTCATAAAAGAACTGCGAATTACTTTATATCTAATATTCACTCAACTGGGTTTATGCTCTTCCTTTTTACCCACCATATATTTTCAATTAAAAAAAATGTGCAAGTATTCACACCTTCTGGCTTTGGTCTACCTCAATCTTCAGCAAATGTTCTTAATCATTAGGATATTCACCCTCAGTAATTAAAACGTAAGTATGGGGGGAGGGGGGAGGGATAGCATTAGGAGATATACCTAATATAAATGACGAGTTAATGGGTGCAGCACACCAACATGGCGCATGTATACATATGTAACAAACCTGCACGTTGTGCACATGTACCCTAGAACTTAAAGTATAATGAAAAAAAAGAAAAAAAACATAAGTATGAAGGTATTAGTCACAAAGTCAAATGAAAATTAATTTTTCTTCTTGTCTTCAACAATTCCTCAATGTTTACAGTAATACAGCTTTAACTGTGTTAATTTCTTTAAGAGAGTGAAAAAACAAGACAGGAAACAAATGCTTTGTTGCTCAAAGACGATTTTTGATATTTAAATTTTCCTTCAAGATCTGAGACACTTAACCACCTTTAGAACCTAGAAATAATTCCTACATATATTTGAAGTCCTGATACCTCTAACAAGGAGAGAAGGATAAGGAAAGAAGTAGTGGTGTAAATGCCTTAAATGAGAAAGAGCTGACTATTAACATATCTAAATCCTTATCAGCTCCTTAGAAAAACATCTAGAAATGTAATCTCTGCAGCTTAAGGAGGATAAGTTTTTTAAAATATGCAAAGAACAGGGGACAAAAATTACTATGGAAATAAAATATTTTTCCTCATTTATTTATTCAAAAAATATTTACCAAGTGCCTACTCTATGCCTGACACTGTTCTAAGCACAAGGCATACTGCAGCAAATAAAAACTAGACAAAAATCCCTCCCTTATTTTATTCTCAAAAACTGAAAAGGTAAAATGCATTAAAATGAAATAGAAATTACAATTATCAACAAGTAAATACACTATAAAACTTATTTCATTACTTAAAGTTACTAATTGCTGGCCAGAAAACATAAGGACTAAATACTGCCTTAACTATTAATATGAAAAAGTGTTCATTGAGAAAAATAATTATGGTCAGGGGATAAATAGTAAATACTTGGCCTTATTTTTAAAATTCTGCTATTTTTAGATCATTTGATTAATACAGAGAGACAGAAACAAAATATTAATATTAAATTAACACATTATATCTCTATATACATATATAGATATATACATATATACATATGTAGATACATAGATATATCTCTATATAGATGTGTATAACCTTAAGAAAGAGTTGAAAAAAGTACATAAAAAATTATTGCTAGAAGCCACCTCTGCAGGGTGGGAGTGAACAGAATGAGCCAGAGGAAAAAACAGAATTTTCTTTTCTATAATATGGCAATTATTTAAAATGGAGTCTGAGTGGTTTTTATGTTTCTGTGTTTTATGGTACTTGTCAAGTAATAATTTTTAAAAAGGCTAATTTGGATGGAATTTGTAAAATAATAAGATAGACTATAGAAAAACCTGGACTTTTCCTATCATAGACAATAAAACAATTATGTCCTAAAAATCAAATGGTATTGCAAGAAAATGTCTGCAGAATTAAGTGAGCTTAATGACTAACCAAAGCTAAAAAGACAAGTGCAGAAAGCCCAAAGCCATTATAAAGTTTAGATACTTTACTAGTAGCATACAAGCAGGCAGAAAAAAATAAAAAAACTTATTCCGGTCTCAAATGTGTAAAAACTATTCCTGGGCACAGGGCCCAGATAAGCATGTCGGGATGCCTGGTTCACTTCTCACTAACCATTGGAAAATTAGTAATTTATTTGAGATTTGGATAAATATAAACTGAGGTTGAACACTTTTTATCATCCTAATTGGGGAGGTTTAAGTTCACTTTGTGGAAGATTATTAAAAATGTGCCTTTGAAGGGGGTCAAACAAAGATGATGATGATGAGGAGGATGATGATGATGATGATAACCATGATTGTTTTACACAATTTTATTTTTTAGCTTAAATAAACTCAAGCTTTCAACCATACTTAATAAACATTACTACTCTGAGGACCTGTTACATTTCCAAAGATGATTATTTGTATTATTCTTCTATACTTGTCAATAGCATATTTGAAGAACATTTTATATACCATTCACTTCCAGGCAAGTACATATTGAGGTGAAAAGAGGTTCTAACCGAAAACAAACACAGTGGCATTCAACAACCATGTCACTCCATGTAAAAAAAATGAAAAGATAATTGCAGTTTTATTATTATTATTATTATTATTATTATTGTAATCATTAGTGTTATACAGCAGGATCTGATGAAACTTCTGCATGTCGTGTTGTCCATTAAGCTTTTCCAAATTTCAGGGTTTTAATATTTCATGTTACCTGAAATGTTTATGATGGTCTTTAGACCTGATAGTTGCAGCTCGGTCATTGGGAAAGGCTAATAGCATATCCTTCACTGGCTCTTCACATGAGCGATGATTGTGAGTGCGTGTCATGGCTGATTGAAGCATTGCTACAGGTGCATAATTCTTGCGTTTTGCCAAGTCTTTGACCACAAACTTTCCCGTGGGATTACGGATCGAAGGCAATATACCTTTTATAGAATTGAATATAAGTTTATAGATGGTATTTTTAATTTCAACTTTAAAAACAATAACCATGAATTAATTAATACACTAGACAATTGATTCTAACTTAAATGCTCAACTCCTAAACACATTTGGAAAATACAAATCATTAATAAAAAAGACCTACACAATTTTAGCAAAATAATAAAATATGAATAATAAAAATGCATATATAAAAATATAAAATATGATAACTTGAAGGATTTAGGTTTACCCATATGAAACTAAATTTTTTGTTGGTCCAAAACAGTTGAATATCAGCAACTTCATATGGTTCAACATATAAAAGATAATGAGGAATTAGATAAAACAGTAGCAACAAGTAAATCCATAGAATAGTCAAAAAGTTTATATTATAAACTCCCTCAACAACAAAACTAAGAAGAATAAAATATAAAAACCAGGAAAATATTAAATAAACTGTATACATCAATAAACCAGTGCTACTCAAAGCGCAATCCTCAGAATGGCAGTAATGGCAGTGTCAGCATCTACTGGGAACATTGTAAAAATGTGTCTTTGGGCCGTAACACAGACAAGCTTAATAATCATTGCTGGGATGTAAGCCAATGACATGTGTTTTAACAGGCCTTTTAGGTGATTTTGATGCATGTTAAAAGATGAGAACTCCTGGGTCAGACCACATTATTTTATATATATACATATATATATGTCTTTAGACCTGATAGTTGCAGCTCGGTCGTTGGGAAATGCTAAAAGCACTTCTTTCACATATATGTGCGTGTGTAATTAAGCAATTAGTATATTAAAATAATCTTAAATTAACAACAGTAACAACAAAGCCAGGTGGGCACTACACAATAGCATACCAGGATCAAATTTCATCACAACTTTCTTGGTGGAAGCTTTACAGATGCTGTTGAAAGCTAAATATACGTGATGGAAAGATTTTACCGACAAAGATTGCAAATCTTCTTCTGCCACTAAACCAATAATCTCTATCATCTGCTTCACTTTGAAGACTCCAAGTTGATGTGGAACAAATGAACACATCACATCCTAAAAAAAAAAGATGAAAAGTAACCAATAATAAATTGGTAGAAAAAAAGTTAACAGCAAATCTAAAAAAAAAACCAGTTAATAAAATTTCAAGGAAAGCTAGCTCATAATGGTAATATGAAAGTACTTCAGAAATATACAGCACTGACAAACTTTTAAAATATTCATTACTTTTCTTAAATAATTTTTTAATAAAAATTATTAAAATTTTTTATTTTTCTTAAATATTAGCAGCTAATATTTCTTAAATATTAGCAGCTAATATTTCTTAAATATTAGCAGCTAATATTTCTTAAATATTAGCAGCTAATATTTCTTAAATATTAGCAGCTAATATTTCTTAAATATTAGCAGCTAATATTTCTTAAATATTAGTAACTTTAAGTAATGAAATTATTTAAAAAATTATTTAAAAAATTATTTTTCTTAAATAATTTTAAGAAAAATTAAACATAGTACCAAAGCAAATTCAGAATGGTGGATTAAGGACTTCCAAAAACCTACTTCTCCAGAAGAGGAAAGAGAACACTGGCAATAAAAATTGTCAAAATGTAGTCCTTTCAGATATTTGAAGATTACCTAAAGGCTCACAAAAATCCAAGGAGTATTTACTTAAAGAAAAAAGGTTGAATCTCTGAAGGAATAGAAGACTGTGCCATTTTTACTTGATGTAATCCCATTCTTTAAAATTCAGCTTTGTGGTCTCCTTGAAAAACAACAGCCTTGCAACTGTGTGTGAAAACCATTAGCCTAGTAGCCAAAAGAGGGAAAAGAATGAGTTTGGAACACTCCAAACGCCTCACTACCAGAGAGATGTACATATTTGTTTTGTCTCACATGATTCAGAGCTCACTCTGTGTGCACAATTCTCTCTCCAGGGTTCTGTCAAATATATAGGTATATATTACTCTGTGTATGCATATATGCAGCACTTTTTTAACTTCTCAGTAACTTGAGGTGGCATTACCATTTAAGGCTAAAAGAAGGTTATTCATAATAAATGCACAAATAGAAAAGTTTAAAAATCACTTGAGAACAAGATATTCAGATGGTATTTGAAAAGCTCTGAAATATTCCTGGGAACCTAGATTGTGACACACATCTGCAGGACTGTGTATATTCCCAGAAAAGATTTAATTAAGTTCTCATGTCTCATCTATGGCTGAATTTGAGGCTCTTTACAAGGAAGAATTAAAGTCTAGAAAGAGTTGTAAACTACTTGACAGAATATTGAAGACATGCCCCAACATACTTACTTATACAGAGGCTCTTGATATAGGCTGTGAGACTTATTGATTCAAGGAATTTAAGGGAACCTCTATCCAATCATTAGCTGAACACTAAATTAACTGAGTAGAGACTTTATTGGCTGCACACAATAAACAAAAAGCTTTCACAGAATTAGTCTAGAGAATCACTAAATAAACAAAACAACAACAAAAAAGCAACAATAAATAATGCAATGATTTCCATAGTTGCCAAGTTATATTATGTACAATGCCCAGTTTTCAACATGAAAAAAATACGAGACACCCAAATAATCAGGAAAGTATGGCCAATACCTAGGAAAGCTGTAGTTCATAGATAATGTCCCTATGGAAATCCAAATGGTGAACTTATTAGACAAACATAGTAAGTTAACTATTGTAAATATTTTCAAAGAACTGAAGGGAAACAGGTCAAAAGAATTAAAGGAAGTATGTGAACAATGTCTCACAAAATACACAATTTCAATAAAGTGTGGAAATTATAAAAAAGAACAAATAAATGTTCTGGAATTGAAGAGTAACGTAACTAAAATTTTAAATTTACTTAAGGGACTCAATAGCAGATTTGAACTGGCAGAAAAACTAACCAATGAAATTGAAGACAAGACATTTGAAATTATTCACATTGAAGAGAGATACATAAGGATGAAGAATAAAGAACAGAGTCTCAGAGACTTTGGGGACATCATCAAGCATAGTCACATATGTATGATGGGAGTCTAAAAAGGAGAAGAGAGAAAGAAAAGGTCAGAAAAAATATTTGAAGAAATAATAGATGAAAAGTTCAAAAACTTGATTAAAGACAATCTACATATCAAAGAAACTCAACAAAACCCAAGCAGGGTAAATCAAATAGATCCACACCTAAACACAACAAAGTCAAACTATCAGAAACCAATGACAGAGAATCTTGAAAAACTACAAGAAGAAAGATAATCATCACATGAGAAGGATTCTTTAGAAATGAACAGCTAACTTCTCATTGGAAACACTGAAGGCAAAAAGGCAGTGGAGAGGTGTGTTCCAATATTGAAGGAAAAAGACTGTACATGCAAAATTCTATAACTAGCAAAACTATCATTCAAAACTGAAGTATAAATTAAGACATTTCCAGATAAATATAAATGAAGAGAATGTATCATTAGTACATTTTCATCACAAAAATATAAAGGGAATTCTTCACAATGAAGTAAAAGGACACTTGATAGTAACTCAAATTCAGACAAGGAAATTAAGAGCACAGGCAAATGTAACTACCTACATAGATAAATATAACAGCATAAACGTACTTTTGTTTGCAATGCTTTCCTGCTCCTATCTGATTTAAAAAGCAATGCATACAGAAATAAGTATTAGAGTATGGATGAGCTTTTAAAGAATAAACACATATTATTTGTATGACAAGAATAGCACAAAGAGGAGACAAGAACCATAATTCTATTGGAGCAAAAGTTTTTGTATACTATACAAATTAAGTTGACATTAATGTGAATGAGACTGTTTTATGTTAAAGATGTTAAACGTAACCCAAAGGGCAGTCACTAAGAAAATTAAATGTTTTTAAAGTTTCGTAAAATAAATAATGACAAAATTAAAATGGTATATTACAAAATATCTATTTAGTACAAAATAAAGCAATAATGAAATAATAGAAAATTAGGAGGATATGTAATTATAGAAAACAAATAGAAAAATAGCAAATGCAAATCCTATGTTACTAGTAGTTACATTACATATAAATGGATTGGCACACATTTACCTATGTAATAAACCTGCACATCCTGCACATGTACCCCAGAATTTGAAATTAAAATTAAAATTTTTGAAAAAAGTAAATGGATTTTCTTTACATTTCTTTCCCCCAGCTCTATTAAGGTACAACTAATAAATAGAAATTGTTTGTATACAAATATATAGTAAATATATAGTATTTAATATGTAATTTTGATGTAATTTTGAAACAATTAAATAAAGCTAAATAATATATCCTTACTGTTTTGTGTTGAAAATATTTATACCCTTTTATTAACCATAGCCACCATTCTGTACAATAGACTCTCAGAACTTATTCATTCTGTCTAACTGAAATTTTGTATTCTGTGATTGACATCTCCTTATTCGCCATCCACTGCCCCTGGCAACCACAATTCTACTATCTGCTTCTATGAGTTCAACTTTGATTCCACATATAAGTGTAGCCATGCAGTATTTGTCTTTCTGAGTATGTCTTATTTCACTTAGCATAACATCCTCCAAGTTCATCCATGTTTCGCAAATGACAAGATTTCCTTATTTTTTTAAGGCTGTATAGTATTCATACACATACACACACACACACACACACACACACACACACACACACACACACACCACATTTTATTTATCCAAGGGGAATGAAATCAGCATGTTGAAGAGATATCTTCACTCTCATGTTAATTGCAGCATCATTCTATAGCCAAAATATGCAATCAACCTAAGTGTTCATCAATAGATAAATGGATACACATAAATGGATTAAATTGTGCAGTCAAAAAGCAGAGATTGGTGGAGTAGGCAAAAACACATAATCTACATATTTCCCACAAGAGGTACACATTGTATACAAAGATACAAATAGGTTGACAGTGAAAGGATGGCAAAATAATATGTCATATGCAAACAATATCCAAAAGAGAGCAGGGTGCCCATACTAATATAAGACAAAATAGATATTGATAGAAAAAGTTCTACATTGAAAAAAGAGCATTTTATAATGATAAAAGGGTCAAGACATCAGGAATGCATATTATAACCATATATGCACCTAATAGCATCAAAAAACTGACAAAAGTGAGGGAAGAAATAGGCAATTCAACTACAATAGTGGGAGACTTTGATATCCCACTTCCAATAATGATTAGAAAAACTAAGCATGTGATCAACAAAGAACAGAGAACTGAAAAACATCATAAGCCAATTAGACCCAAAATATACCTGTAGAACATTTTACCCAACTACAGTAGAATGCACATTTTTCCAAAGTACACATTCGCACTTTGAATGAAACATTTCAAATATAGACTATGTTAGTCTGTGAAATAAGCCTCAATAATTTAAAAGGATTGAAATCTGTGCAGTATGTTTTCCAACCAAAATGCAATGAATTAAAATCAATAAGAGAAGAAAATGTGAAAAATTCATGCATTTTGGAAATTAAGCAATACATGTCTAAATAACCAATAGATTAAAGAATAAAACCACAAGGGGAATTCAACATTATTTTGGGATGAAGAAAAACTAAAACACAACATACCAAAACATATGAAATGCAGAAAAAGCAGTGACAAGACAGAAATTTATGGTTATAAACAAAAGTATTTTTTAAAAAAGACTTTAATCAATATTCTAACCATCCACCTTAGGAAATTTGAAAACAGAACAAAGTAAGTTCAAAGTGAGTATAAGGAAAGGAATAATAAACACAAAAGTAGTAATAAATAATAAAGATAATAGAAAATGTTAGGAAAAAATCAACAGTCCTGAAACTATATCTTTGAAATGATTAACAACACTGAAAAAATTTTAACTAGACTTAATAAGCAAAAAAAGAGATGACTAACTTTGCTAAAATCAGGAATAAAAGAGAGGACATCACTACCAACTTTACACCAGTAAAAAGGGGTATAAGATTATGTGATCAACAACTGAATACCAACAAACCAGATAACCTAAATGACATGGGCAAATTCTTATAAAGAGAAAGACATAAACTACTGAAACTGACCCAAGAAAAAATGAATAATATGAATAGCCCCACAACAAATAAAGGGATTGAATTAATAGCCAAAAACTTTCTGACAAAATCCCAGGACAAAATGGCTTTGGTGGTAAATTCTACCAACCGTTTAAAGAAGAATTAGTGCCAATCCTTCACAAGCATTTACAAAAAATTTAAAAGAAGAGTGTATTCTCAATTCATTCTGTGGCACCGGTTTTATTCTGATGCCAAAATCAAAAACATTTTTTAAAAATCTGCATTCTTATGTCCCTTATGAATATATATGCAAAAATCCTCAACTAAATACGATCAAACTGAAGCCAGCAAAACGTAGAAAAGATTATATACTATGTACAAGTATGATTTCAAGTTTAATATCCATATGTCAATGTAATGCACACTCTTAATAGAATAAAGGACAAAATCACATTATCATTTTAATAGACACAGAAATAGTGGTTGACAAAATACACTTCCATAATAGAAACATGCAACAAACTAGGAATAGAAGGGAACTCCCTCAAGTTTATAAAGGCAGTCAATGAAAAACTTACAGCTAACATGAAACTTGATAAGAGACTAAATGCTTTCCCCTCAGATCAGGAGCAAGACAAGATACCCCTTTTGCCATTGCTATTTAATATTGTACTAGAGGTTCTAGCTAGGACAAGTAGGTAAGAAAATAAGTTAATAAAATGAATCCAGATTAGAAAGAAAGATGTAAAGTGACCTCCATTCACAGGTGACATGTTCTTGTATCCCAAAGAATCCACCAAAAAACTACCAGAACTAATAAATGAGTTCAGCAAATTTGCAGAATACAAGGTCAATATGCAGAAAACAAATGCACTTATATGCACTAGCAATGAATAATCCAGAAATAAAACTAAGAATTCTATTTCATTTACATAGCATCAAATAAGGATAAAATATTTAGAAATAAATTTTTAAAATAATTGCAAGACTTGTACATTGAATACTACAAATATTATTAAAAGGTATTAAAGAAGACATAAATAAGTGTAAAGGCATACAATCTTCTGGATCACAGGATTTAATATTGTTAAAATGGCAATATTCCCTAAATAGACTTACAAATTCAACACAATTCTTTTCAAAATTCCAGCTGTCCTTTTTTTTTTTTTTTTTTTTTTTTTTTCAGAAATTAGCAAGCTAATGTTAAAGTTCATATGTATTTGCAAGCATCCCACATTAGGCAAAAATTTTCTTTAAAAAGAAAAAAATTAGAAGGCTCATATTTCCCAAATTCAAAAAATACCATAAAGCTGCAGTAATTACAGGCCGGGCGCAGTGGCTCACACCTGTAATCCCAGCACTTTGGGAGGCTGAGGCGGGCAGATCACTTGAGATCAGCAGCTCGAGACCAGCCTGGCCAACATGGTGAAGTATCTTGTCTCGAAAAAAAGAAAAAAAAAGCTACAGTAATTAATATATTGTAGTACTGACATAGGATAAATACAGATATGCAAAATAGAATTTTTAGTCTAGAAATCCTTATATTCACATTCAATTGGTTTTTTTATATATGTGACAATATTCTGTGATAACCTGACATCTCTATGAAAAAGAATACATTTCAACCTCTAAATCATGCCATTTACAAAAAATAACAAATAGTTTTTTTTTTTTTTTTTTTTTTTGAGACGGAGTCTCACTCTGTCACCCAGGCTGGAGTGCAGTGGCACGATCTTGGCTCACTGCAACCTCCGCCTCCTGGGTTCAAGTGATTCTCCTGCCTTAGCCTCCTGAGTAGCTGGGATTACAAGCGTGCGCAACCTCCGCCTCCTGGGTTCAAGTGATTCTCCTGCCTTAGCCTCCTGAGTAGCTGGGATTACAGGCACGTGACACCACACCCAGCTAATATTTGTATTTTTAGTAGAGACAGGGTTTCACCACATTGGTCAGGCTGGTCTCGAACTCCTGACCTCATGATCCAGCCGCCTCGGCCTCCCAAAGTGCTGGGATTACAGGCGTGAGCCACCGCGCCCGACCAACAAATAGATTTAACAGTTTGAGCTAAAATTCTTAGAGAAAAACATGGAAACAAAACTTAATGACCTCAGACAGTATATGACTACTTAGATATGATACTAAATGCACAAGAGACAAAAGAAAAAAATAGATAAATTGAACTTAGTCAAAAGTATTACTTTTATCCTTCAAAGGTAACTATCAAGAAAGTGGGAAGACAATCCACAGGATGGAATACAATATTTGTGATTTCTGTATCTGTCAAAGGACTTGTATTGAGAATATATAAAGAACTCTTGCAATTCCATAAAAAAAAGACAGCCCAATTAAAAAAATAGTAAAATGTATTCTATTAGTTTTCTATTTTGGCAATAAAAAATTACCAAAAATCTTGTTGACAAAAATAACTCAATTTCTTATCTTACACTTGTCAGAAGCCTAACACAGGATGAAAATCAAGGTGTCAGCAGGACTGCTTATTTCTGGAAACTCTAGCAGAGAATCTGCTTTCTTGCCTTTTCCAGATTCCAGAAGCCATCCCATTCCTCAACTTATGCACCCCACCCCCTTCCACCTTCAGAGCCAGAAATCAATGGACAGTAAAGTCTTCCATTA
Organism: Homo sapiens; assembly: GCF_000001405.40. NCBI lineage: Eukaryota > Metazoa > Chordata > Mammalia > Primates > Hominidae > Homo > Homo sapiens. Next base: position 35,958,932 of record NC_000023.11, on the reverse strand, counting down.
CTTTGACACTGACACATTTTCTGTCCTCCATTTCCACTTTTAAGGAACCTGAGAGTATATAGGGTTCACCTGGAAAATCCAGGCTAATTTTCCTATTTTAAGGTGGGTTGATTAACAGTCTTAATTTCAAGTGAAACCTGAATTCTGCTTTGCCATAGAACATCACATGTTCATAATTTCTAGAGATTAGGATAGAGATATTTTAGGGGGCCATTATTCTGCCTATCATAGATATGCATAAATATTTCTCCAAAGAAAATATACAAATGGACAATAAGTACATGAAAAGATATTCATCATCATTAGTTACTGGGGATATTTAAATGAAAACCATAAGGACATGCCACTTTGTACCCATTGGGATGGCTATAATAAAAAAAGAAGTACATTAACAAGTGTGGTGGAGGGTATGGGTAAATTGGAATGTTCATTTATTGCTGGTAGGAATATAAAATGGTATAGTCACTTTGGAAAATAGTATGACAGTTTCTTAAAAAGTTAAACATAGAGTTTTCATATGACCCCAACAATTCCACTCTTAGGTGTATTTCAACAGTATTAAAAATCTGTCCACACAAAAAGTTGTACATGAATGTTTATAGCAGCATCATTCATTACAGCCAAAAGGTGGAAACAACCCAAATGTCCCTCAATTGATGACCGGATAAACAAAAGGTGGTATATCCATACAAAAAATATAATTTGGCTATAAAAATGAAGCACTAATACATATTACAATGTGCATGAACCTTGAAAATATTACGCTAAATGAAAGAAGCCATACACAAAATGCCTTATATAAATATAATATTTATAGAAAATGACCCAAACTGGAAAACCTACTGACAGAGAGAATAGATTAATACTTGCCAGAGGCTGATGAATGAGGAGAAGGGGAATGACTGTTAATGGACATGGAGTTTCTTTTTGGGGTGAAGAGAACGTTGTGGAATTAGTGCTGATGTGTGCAATCTCTGAACATATTAATATCACTGAATTGTATACTTCAATGTGTGAATTTTATGGTATGTGAATTACATATCAATAAAGTTATTATTTAAAAAGAATAATCTTATCACACTTCTAAATAGTCAAAGGCCATTTGACCAGTCTGTGCAGGCCACAATTCTCCAGTGTCTACTATACTTCTTACATTCGCATTTTTACTAATTTGAAAATTATTAGTGTTGGAAAAATTCATAAATGTAGAGGGTTAAAAATAATATTGGGGAGTTAGCTATTAGATATGTTTTGAAAGATGCATATGTTACTGGAGAAAAATAATTGAGTCGGTAGGTTTAAGAGACTTGGACTACAGGAAATCTAGAAAGCAGTTAAAAAGAAAACATTTAGTATAAAGTGGCTAACATTTGTTGCTATTCTTTGAAAACTGATAACATCTATCCAAATTTGGAGGGAGAGAGTCATACTAATGAAGCAGTAAGATATAAATAGGAGCTGCATGTATATAAACATGTATACAATAGTTCTTAATTGCAATTGGAAGAAAGCTTCCTTCAATAACTTTATGAACTGCATCACTGCAGTGGAAGAAATATGATAACATAAGAAACTGAGGAGAAACTGAAAGCACTCATGTTTGCTATATTTAAGGCAGGGTTCAGCAAACCCTTTCTGTAAATTGCCAGACAGTGAACACTTTAGGCTCCATGAGGCATAGGTTTTCTCACAACCACTTAAGTCTTTTTTTTTTTTTTTTTTTTTGAGATGGAGTCTCACTCTGTCACCAGGCTGGAGTGCAGTGCTGTGATCTCGGCTCACTGCAACCTCTGCCTCCTGGGTTCAAGCGATTCTCCTGCCTCAGCCTCCTGAGTAGCTGGGACTAGAGGCATGTGCCACCACGCCCGGCTAATTTTCATATTTTTAGTAGAGACGGGGTTTCACCATGTCGGCCAGGATGGTCTTGATCTCTTGACTTGTGATCCACCTGCCTCGGCCTCCCAAAGTACTGGGATTACAGGTGTGAGCCACCACGCCCAGCCAACTCTGTCTTTTTGTATGAAAGTAGCCTTAGACAATAGGTGAACAAATAAGAGTGGCTATATTCCAAAAACACTAATTACCAAAACAGGCATCAGGCCATATTTGACCTGTGGACCATCGTCTTTTAACCCATGGTTTAGAGGATATGGGAAAGAGTTACCTGTGCAGCAATTAAGAGAAAAACAGCTCCTGACAACCAGAAGCTGACCTAGTGCTCACAGGTATGCCTTGGCATTCTCTTTTTCTGCTTTGTACCAGCAGTACAAGTTCTAGGCCTGGTAAATATCACCAGTTTCAAACTTCAAAATTCTACTCAAGCTTCAATGTCTGGCTCATACATTACTCTCCTATGGAGACCTTTCTATCTGGTTAGAAGTAAACATTCTGTTATTTGAGTTTCTATATCACCTTGTTACAACTTTAACATGTTTTATATTCTCCTTAAGCCATACCTACCTGTGTATATGTCTAATATTTTAGAGGAAGTAACTATGTTTTGCATTTCTTTAAATTCCCTAGTGCCAAATGCTTTCACTGGCACATGACAGGCACTTAACAAATCATTATGGATTCTATATGAGTACCAATACAAAAATCTTCATAACTAGGCTGCAGAAGAGAAACAATTTATAAACACTGGTAGAACACATGTTGTTTCTAATCCTCCGCATAGCATTTTAGCACACCTTAAAATGTTAGCTGCCATGTAAACGCAAAGAAAAATTATCTTACCACCATACCCCCTCCAGTAATCTTGCCCTTTTCAGGATCAATTTCAAAATTTGCAGTTTTTTTAAAGTGGTACGTCACAGGAAGTAATTCGCATTGATTTTTTATGATGCACTGAATTTCTGAACGTTCACCCATGAAACAAGGTTTAAAATTAAGAACTGGTCCTGGATCAAACTGTAGTAAAACAGGAAGTCCTGTGCCTGTCAGTGCTAATTCCACTTTCTGAAATCGTTCACCTGTAAAAGCAATAATAGCTGTTGAACATAAAAAGTGTTTGGGGAATCCAGAATATATTTGCTTAGTCTATTTGTTGTCTGAAATACCTAATGCAAATTGGGTAGCTCATTCAATCTTTTCATTCAACACAATTATTGAGTGTCTTCTCTGTGTCACGCCTTGCGGATACAGCAGTGAATAAAAGAGACAACATTCCTGCTCTTACGGACTTTACATTCTAGTGAGGTGACATTGACAATAATCAACCAAATAATGTTATATGTTTACACAGCATTTCATAGAAAATAAGTATTATGGGTAAAGGTAAGACAGGTTGAGACAGAGTACAAGGTCTTGGGGATTCTGTTTTATGTAGAGATGTCCAAAAAGGCTTCTCTGATAGGGAGATACTTGAGCCAAGATATAAAGGGAGTCTGGAAAAAAATGTGAAAATCTAGGAAAAGTTTATTCCAGGCAGAGAGAACAGCAAGCACAAATACGCTAGGGCAGGAACTTGTCTGTCATGTTCAAACGCCTTTAAAGAACAAATGGCTGGAGGAGAAGAGTAGAAAAATGGAGAAAAATTGTCAGATTTTTAGATATATTTTTGAGGGTAGGCTTAAGAAGATTTGCTGATATATTGGACACAGAATAGGGAAATGAAGAAGTGATAAAGGATGACTCTAAGTTTTTTGCCTTAGCAACCAAAATGATGGAATTGCCATTTCTTGAAACAAGAGACTGAAGGAGGAGCCGGTTGTGGAAAAATCAGGAGTTCTGTTTGGGACATGTTAAGTTGAGATAACTAGTAGATATTCTTATGGAAATGTCTACTAGACCACTCTGTGTTCAAGCTTACAAGTGAAGACGAAGGAGGAAAGAGTGGAGACTTGAGGAGAGAATAAAAGGTGTGTGATATTCATCTCAGATTGTGTAAGAGTGAATGAATGGGTGAATGCAATAGGGAATGCCAAACAGCTTAAAGAACTCACTTGGGATTAGTGATTACAGATACAAAGTGAAACCTCTCAACAAGGTTGTATGTTTTTCTCCAACACAATCAGATTCCCATGTGCAGACCCAATGTAAGCTGAAAGCTGAATTTCATAGAATTAGAGGCTTTTCACTCAGTCATTGTGGGAGACAGACCAACAGATATAAGTGCACATGAAAAAGAATAATTAGAATAATGGACAATGGAATAGAAGCTGGGCAAAAATATAAACATGAAGTTTTTGGGAAACCAGAAAGATGATAACAGAAGAACAATTTTGCAGAGAGAGAGCAGTGTAACTAGAACCAAAGAAAAAGAGTTTGCATTTTTTCACTAATGCTCTTAGTAGCCAATCTTAGACTAAATTATCTTTAAGGCAAACCTAGTAACTCCATCCCTGGCTATTCAAAACTGGATTAACCTGTAAACTTTGTACAAATGTGGAATTCTCATTGCTGTCTAGGATCAGCAGACGTAGCTCAATATCACAAAACACAATATAAATAGTAACAGAACAATCCATTTATGCCCAAGGAATACAGTTAAATCCTGCTCAATATCACTTATACTGACACACTCGATTTGCATAAATATCCAGGATGGTGATCTAATCCCTCCTTGGTATAGTTCATTTTCCTGGATTTGATTCCTAACCTTCCTAATTCTCTATTTTCTCTTTGATCTGTCTTGCTAAGCTGAACTCCAAGTCCCATTCCATTTTTTTCCTCACTATAACCAACCTAATATAACCTGAGAATATAAAACATATAAGGCATATTGACATGTGGCCTGCAAAACATGTGCAATTATCAGTATCCAATAACACTGTCCTGTACCCTACTAACTAGATCTCTAGATCTTGTTTTTTACTGTTCCTATTTGTAGATTCTAAGAGAGCTGAAGGATTAGTAGAGATGGAAAGGGTCATTTGTCCCCATACCAATCCCTGAGAAAAAACCTAGGCATACATAGAAAACAAATCCGGGTTTTTTTTTCTTATTCCTTAAACCCTAGATCATCATGTTTATCTAACATCATTTAAAATTATAACCTAACTTCCAACCTGGAAAATTATTATGTAAATGATTGTGAAGTTGACTTCTTAACATGCCACAGATGACACTTTAAGGTCTCTTGAACATGTTTGCTTTTTTTTCTATTCAATAATTATATATTTTATTAGATTGTCTCTACAGATATTCATGTTCAAATTTTTAAACAATTTAAATGGCTACGGATTTGATAATTTTGTTAATTTCACACTTACTTTTGATGGTTTTATAGTCATCATCTCTCAAAAATCCATCTTTACTTCCTACGGACTCAAATCTCAAAAAGAGAGCATAGTCCTGTCTGTATGAAGGTCCAATATCCTTTTTACCAACAGCCATTAGCCTGTAAAAAAATCACAATGAGTTATTTTTAAAGCAAAGTTGATATACTTTATCACCTTGTAAGAGGAAATATCAATCCAATCTTTAAATCTATGCAAGCAAATGAATGTTAAGGAATGAAAATACAACTGTAATCCATTATCCAAATTTACTGCACAGCCAGAGAGATTTGCCAAAAGAAGGCTACAGAGTATAAAGCTGAGAAAAATGAGTTCGTGCCAACATCGTCAAGACAAGAGTAATTTAAATATACCAAGTCATCAAGGTCTAGCTCAAATGCCACTTTCTCTGCAAAGAATTTTCTTCCAGACAAAATTCATCTCTAACTAAGGACTCTGATTAATTCTTTACAATAGTCCATCTTACTCTTGGGCATAATAAAAAACATTTGTTACAAATTTGTCTTCCCCAATGTACTAAGTGCATATTGCCAGCCATGCTCTTGTTGTGGACAAGTAATTTGGAGAACACGAATTGCTAACAGTTAAATTTTGTTTGAGGAGAAAAGGAAAGGAAGGCTAGGAAGAAGGGAAATAGGAGTAAAGGCAGAGATGGTTTATGTCATAGGTCTGCTCATTGGCTATTTTTACCTGCCTTACCTAGAGGTCAGCTCTCTAGTAGTGCAAACTCAACTACATTTACAAAATACTGACATGTAATATTAAATATGAATACAAATAGTGTGGTCAGAACACATTTAACTAAGACTTCAAATCATACATATACCTATGATTCTATGCTAGACTCTCAAGTTAACATGCTGCCATGAAAAAAGAATAGAATATTTCAAATTTCAAAGATTGTGTATTAAACAGAATCTTACAGATTCACCAAAGAAACTACTTGTATGAAGGTATCATTAATAAGGCAATTGTGGATTTACATATAGAACAATTACTTGATTTATTAACCTCTTTAAATTAAAGCAAGCTCAATCTTCAACAGGCAACCCTGTTCCACAAACAAGAAGTACATTAAACATTACCCTCTCACAAACAAGGGAAAATATTCTTGCAATTGAATCAGTTCACACATATTACAACTTATCAAGGTGTCACTGAAATTGCTATTATATATTTAAAACAGCATGCTCTTCAAATTTAATAACAAAACAAAGTTCATGGAATTATGAAAAATGTACACTGGCTTAAGTGCTAAAAGTCTGTATGAATTTCAGCAAACAAGTTTGACTGATCCCTGGAAGGTGCTATAGGTTTAATACTTAGGATAGTCAGCAATAATTCTGCCCTGCCAGAAGTATTGCATCCTCTTTGGAGGGACCTACGACATGCTGCATGCACCTGACTATTCGTGGGGACAACAAGGTCTTGACTGCACAAACAATTTGGGGCCACACTCCAAAACAACTCAAAACTTGCACTTCCACCACCCCATTTCCACAAGGTCTAGGGATATTTTTAACTTTACATGAAGTATTTAGAACCATATTTAGAATTATTAGAAATATTACTAACCATGTTAGAAACATCTAGAACCATGACAAGAAAAATCTGACTTGTGCCTTCTGGCAAGTTTTACTATTATAGTATTAAAGTGAATCTGATTAAAGTGTGGTTAATATACTTTCCATTAATATTTAACATTACAATGAAATTAATTTTTGCTTACTTTGGGGTGAAACAAAATGTAATTACAGTCTTTTGATAAGGTTGTAAAGTCCCTTCATTAGGAAGACAGGAGATAATGATAGTAGTATCTATGTTCTTTATTTTTCTTATGTAGGTGAGATTATTTAAAGCAATATCTGTTCTTTGTTGAATATCTGTACCCTGTAATATAAAGTCAGATATAAAAGAGTATTAAGGCAAAACACAAAAAAATTTTTGAGGAGGTTACAAAATAATTATTGAAATTCCAGAATCTAGGAAATAGCAAATATCTATCTTTAAAGTAACATTTACACATAAATTTGACCAAGGCACATCATACAATTTGAAAAAGGATTAAAAAATTGATGAGAACAGAAATACCTTCAATTAGCCACTGATCTATAAGAAGCACTTGTCTGGTTTACTTCAGATATATATTACTATAAATGTTAGCTTAATTTCTGAATTTTTTGAGGTTGCTATTGGATACACATAAAATCAAATCTATCTGCCCATGTTAAAAGATATTTTGAATAATTAAAAAGCTTGTTGGTTATTATTAGATTTAACACAATCTCTTTTAAGTCATAATATCTGATATCCCTGTCGCACCACTTACTTACCAATTCTTCTCCCACGGCATCATCTTGTATGATGGCCACCCAATTTATGGGCTCTGGGCTATTATTGTATACACGTGCATGTTTAATTTTTGATGATCCGAAGAAAACAGGACCAAAGTGTATGCATTCCAGCCTTCTGTCACTACTCATGCTTAATAATTCAATAATCTGCTCAACCACATGAGCTTTGATACTCAAGAGCATCTCAGGTTGACCTTGCAAAATCACTCTACAGGATAATAAGATATGCACATACATACATATTTTAATTAGAATTCTATATACTTTGTTTTTCTCCCACACATTTCGACAAACAGAAACTTTATAGAATCACATTATCATTAAAATTCAGTAGCCTAAGAGTAGTTCCTTTCACGTACATACCAGAGGTTATCAGGTTCTTCTGTATATCTGAATCTACAAAATGGAATGGCATATGTGCAGCCTAATTCACTGTCTTCAGGAAACAGTAAAGTTGTAAAACAATCTCATGAATTGAACCCAGAAAAAACTCAATGGCATATTCATATTGCCAATTATTTAAATGATTTGTATGGTTACCTCTAGCTCTCAAATTCTGAAATTCTTTTCTAATTCTTCTCATCTCCCAAGTCCAACAGCTTATCTCATCCCCATCCTTACACCTCAATTCCTTACAATCTAACGTACCTCAGTAAAACCCACTGCTGCCTGGGTGTGATCTCACACCTGTAATCCTAGCACTGTGGGCAGCCAAGGAGGGAGAATTGCTTGAGTCCAGGAGTTCAAGACGAGCCTAGGCCACACAGTGAGACCCTATCTCTACAACAACAACAACAAAAATTTAAATAGCCAGGGATGGTGACACACACCTTAAGGTCCAGCTACTCTGGAGGCTGAGGTAGGGGAATTGCTGGAGCATGGGAGGTCATGGCTGCAGTAAGCCGTGATTGCACCACTGCATTCCAGTCAAGGTGACAGGAAGAGACCCCATCTCAAAACCAAAACGAAACAAAAATCCCACTTCTTTGCTGAAATAAACATTTCCCCATTAACTTCACTTCTCAAATGAATTTCAATTCTCTTTGGGAACTGCTCTTTCATTTTATTCCACTCTGGCATAAATGCAATCTTTCAATTTAGGCCCATCAGATACCACAGATAACTGACTACTCCACAACTATCACCTAACCCTTATCTTACACTATATCCTATAACATTGGGCATTGAATTGCTCCTCCCTTAGCTTCCTTGACACCATAATTTCAAGGTTTTCTTTTAACTCACTCAGGCCCCACCTTCTCACTCTTCTAAGACTGGGACCTTTTTTAAACTTGATAAATAGTTAACATGAATAGTAGTGTTTTTTCTCTTACTGTTTCTCATTCTACTCTCCTTCTCAAAGTTATTCTCAACACTTCTGTTTCTTCTACCACTTATACACTGATGATCTTCAACCCTATACAGGCTGAGTATTCCTAATATGAAATCCATAATGCTCCAAAATCCCAAACTTTTTGAATGCTGATATAAAACTCAAAGGCAATGCTTATTAGAGCATGTCGGATTTCAGATTTTTAGATTAGGGTTACTAAACTAGTAAGTATAATGCAAATATTCCAAAATCCAAACAAAATTGAAATCTAAAACACTTCTGATCTCAAGTATTTTGAGTAAGGAACATTCAACTTGTACATCTAAATCAAATTTCTTTCTGGGACTCAAGATAATTTAATAAGCTGCAGCCAGCTCCACCAGGAATCTGAAAAGTAAAACCATTCCAACATATCAAAACTGAATTTAAGATCCTCTCCCATAACCCTGTTCCACCTTTTATCTTCCTTTGCTACAATCAGTCACCAAATCTAGTCAAATCTACTTCTACAACCTATCTCCAATTTGCACACTTCTATCAGTCTTCTCAGTTGACCTTATCTCAGACCTTTATCATTTTCCTCTTGCTTTACTGTAATTTCTAGTCAAGATTCTCACTCCACATTTGTACTCCCTGGTCTGTTTTGCACACTGCCACTAGGAGGACCTTTCTAAAATACAAACTAATCATGACACTCTCATCCTAAAACCCTCCTAAGACTTCATAGCCTTCACAATAAAACCCAAGCTCCTATCAGGGTTCACACCTGTTTATCACATATTTATGGCTGTGACCTTCAGTAAAAAAAGTATTTTATATTCCAGTGCCGGAACACACACACACACACACACACACACACACACACTCCACAGATGCATTCTGATATTTTTAAGTCGTTTGTTAAAAATACTGGTGATGGCTCATTATATTGACTGCACATTCTAGCAATGAATTAAGACATACCGCACAAAAATGTTGGACTACAAAGCCCTTCAAACTAGACATTCCATTTGGTTTTTCTGGTCTTGTCTCCTGTCACTCCCCACCTCCATCTTTTTAATTCTACATTGCCAAAGATGCCTTGGTGTGCAACACTGTCTTTTTGCCTCTAGGATTTCCAGTATGTTACTTGCTCTGCCTGAAATCCCTCCTCTATGCTACTCCCATCACTAACTCCCACCACCCCTACACACACACACACACACGCACACACACACACCCCAAATCACATCACTGCTCTTTGCCTGGCTAATTACTACTCACCAGTAAGTATTTGATTCAACTATCACCTTGTTAGTGGAGCCCTTCCCTGGTCCACTCTCTCACCTCAATGAAATTCAAAATAGAAGATCCTGTTATGTGTACCCATATGCTATCCTCTAGTTCTTCCCATTTCTTAAAAACCTACTGCTTGGCAAATAGTAGAGACTCAATGAACAACGCTGAATGGAAGAACAAAGGAGCTAACATACAATCAAAGTCACATCTGCAGGGTTAAACGGGAAAGCATTGAGATCTGTATTATAATTTTTAGAACCACAGTATATACTCACATTGCCTCTTCATCTACAATTCTTGGCTGGTCTGCACAGAAATCTACTTTAATAACCATTGATGACTTAGCATCCACGATACCACTAGTTGGAAAAATGAGGATGGGTAATTGGCCGTGGTATTCTGCCTTAAATATGCCTATAGGGAATAAGAGCAGTTGATTTACATCTGGACCCTTACAATGTTGCATGTACACTCTCAGTAGGGGACCAACATACTTTACCCAGTAGACCAAGCTTGCCTAACCCATGGCCCATGGGCCACATGCAGCCCAGGACGGCTTTGAATGCAGCCCAACACAAATTCATAAACTTTCTTACAACATTATGAGATTTTTTGAGACATTTTAAGCTCATCAACTATCATTAGTGTTAGTGTATTTGATGTGTGGCCCAAAACAATTCTTCTTCTTCCAACGTAGCTCAGGGAAGCCAAAAGATTGAATACCCCTGGAGCAGATGGTCTACAGTGTACCAAGAATTAAAGCTTTAATTGTAAGTCCAATATCTGAGGTCACCCAACAAATATGATCCTGTTGTTAGAATTCAAGTCTCACCAATAGTTAAAATTATCTGCTTACTACGTTCAGACACTTATGTTAAGAGCTCTGCATAGGTTATTTAATTTCCGTAAATAATCTATGATATAATATTTTCAATCATTACCTCCATTTTACAAGTAACAAAATAGAAGTTTTGAAATGATGAATGACTTGTTCAAGGTCACACAACTACTGTGGTAGATTAGCTTGCTGACCACAATTCTTCACCTTTTTCCACATTCGTATCTTTACCCTATTGTTCCAGAGTTTCTCACTGCAGGTCTGTGGGTCAGCTGGGTGACTCTGCTCCACATTTGCTCATTCTAGGGCATGGGCCAAAAGGACAGCAATTACACAGGATAAAACACTTCCCACCTCCCATGGTAGAAGTGCATCTAGGTTGGAACTGGCATGCTATCAATTACACCCACATGTTATTAGCCAAAGCAAATCACATGATCAAGCCCCTTGACTTTGGGAAGTGTTTCTCCTGAGTAACTGCTGTCCTTTTGGCCCATGCCCTAGAATGAGCAAATGTGGAGCAGAGCCACCCAGCTGACCCACAGACCTGCAGTGAGAAACAGAACAGGCCCAGCTGCTTCAGCTTGAAGCAGAGCACCCAGATGAGCCCAGCCTAGATCAGTCAAGTTCCAGCCAATCTGCATACACATAACCACATGACCAATTAAAAAATAACTGCTGTTTGAAGATATTTTAGGGTGGTTTGTTATATAGCAATAACTACTACAGTTAGTAACTAACTAATGAAGATGAGATTTTCACTTGGATATTTCTGACCACAGGTTCATACTTATAGTTATTACCATTCCCTAGGAGATGAATTTATCCAGTTCACACAGGATAAGGGCAAAGGGGATTGGTTTCTGAAATCAAATGGCATATGAGAAGGAGGGTACAAAGATTCTTATTCTGAAAGCAGAAATGGTTCATAATTTATGGTAATGTTTTGTGCCTATATTACAGCATGTGGTCCTTGAAATCAGATACAATCTCTTTCTCATGTCTGTGGTCACAGCACCCCACACACTGCTTAGCACTAAGCAGTACTTAAAGTATGGCCAACAAATAGAAGCAGCCAATCACTAGTCCCTTTATTATCATTATAACACAAATGAGCATGGTGCTAAAATAAACAGTTTGGCAAATTCTGAAATCACCAGTCTTAAATCACATCTGATGATATTTTCCAAATGTATTCATTTAATTTAGGAAAACAAAATGTTAGCACAATAAAAGTAATGAAAATATTAAAAAGACAATATTTGAAAATGCAAAGTAACAAAATTGGTCACTTCAATCATTTCATAGATGTGCTAACAGCATAATATTTGAAGTTAATTTTATATCATAAATCAAAAATATATAAAATTATATCCATTTCAAATAAATAGGTATTATTGACTCCATTCTGTAAGAAAAAAAGGTATATAAATTTAGTTAGGACTGAGTCAGTGAAAAAGTTTCCCATATTGTAACTACTTAGACATAATTTGACAAAAGAGTTTAAGTGAATATTTCAAAAACTTATTCAGAAGCAACACAAAATACAAAAGAATATTGTTTAATTTTCTAAATATGTTTAAATTGCAGGTATGTCAACATTACTATGTCTTATTTAACTTTAATACAAAAACCATTTGTTTGGCTTTTTAAATTGCTAACAACAGAAGCAAGAATATCATCCTAAGAGAAGAGAGTTATTGAAAAAAAGAATGTTGGCCAGGTGCGGTGGCTCATGCTTGCGATCCCAGCAATTTGGAAGACGGAGGTGGGAGGATCACTTGAGGTCAGGAGTTCGAGACCAGCCTGGTCAACATAGTGAAACCCCATCTCTACTGAAAATACAAAAATTAGCTGGGCATGGTGGCGCACACCTGTAATCCCAGCTACTGGGGAGGCTGAAGCAGGAAAATCGGTTGAGCCTGGGAGGCGGAGGTTGCAGTGAGCCAAGAGCACGCCGCTGCACTCCAGCCTGGGTGACACAGTGAGACTCTGTCTCAAAAAAAAAAAAAAAAAAAGAGAAGGAGAAGAAGAAGAAAAAAGAATGTTAAAAATGGAATATTTGTGATCAAATTTTCATTTCTTCTCAGATATGGCACTGGCTAATGTGTGGGAAATAAACTAAAAGGAAGTAACGTCAGGAAAATAATTTAGGTTAATGTAGTTATTCAGCAGGGGAAGATAATGGCTTTTTGTAAAAAAAGTGGCATTGGGCAGAGAAAAGTAGTATTACTGGCTTAATTATGAAGTGAACAGATAAGATTTACTAATTGACTAAGGGGGTAGGAAGTGAAAAAGAGAGAGGTGTTGAAAATTTTGCCAAGTTTTGGAACTCTCCAAATACATAGTGGTAACATTAATTGACAAAGAAAAAAGAAGTATTGGGGGAAGCTGTTAAGTTTGAGAAAACTGAAGGATACCCAAAGGATTGTATAGATCTAGGAGTAGTCAGTGAAGTAAAAGGAAGGGAAGTGATGGTCCAAGGAGAGTACCTTGACTGAAGAAACATAAGAGTCTGTGGCAAACCTTAGGAAACATTCACATTTAATATACCACAAAAAGAAACACCAGTCTAGGAAAGAGAACTGAAGAGGGCAGAGGTGGTAGAAAAATAATAATTATAACATAAATAGCTAACATTTACTGAAAAGTTATATATGCCAGAGAGTGTGCTAAGCATTTTATTAATCATCACCACCATTAGAGGAGGAAGGTACTATCTTTATCTCTAATGTGTAAGTCAGACAATGGATGTTTTGGAAGTGCAAATTCCTTACCCAGGGCCTCCCAGATAGTAAATGATGCAACTAAGATTTGGGCCCTATTCAACCACACTTCAGGACCTGAGTTATTAATTAGCATTCTATATAAGAGAGTGAGTTGTCACAGAAGCCAAAGGGCTTTGAATTGTTTTTGTTTTGTTTTCCCAAGAAAGTGGCAGTGGCTAACTATGTCAACTTTTGCCAATAAGCCATGTAAAACAGACCTATAGACTTGCCCACTGATAAGAGTTAGTGGGGGCACATAAAACATAAGGGTACCCACAGCTACAGCTGCGATGAGGGGTCCCTCACACAAATCTGTGTGATTTTTGAATCTGGATTCTTCTATCTTCTCTAGAGAAGCAAATTAGACACTAAGTGGTGCAGTATACATGGTTACACTGTCTATACTCCTTGAAAAAATTTTTAGGAACTGCTAAGCAGATTTTTGCCTCAGAGTATCTGTAAGATCAAGCCAGGGTAACCAGATTCTGTAGTTCTATAGAATGTTATTAAAAATCAGTTGTCATGTACCCCAGGCTATTGCTATTTCTTATGATTTTTTAAAATTCCCTTGGTTCTAAGCACACTAAATATGTATGAGGCTCCACATGTTTCCAAATGACTAATTTTTAGAGATTCTTCAGAATGCTCATATGGATTTAACAGGTTCCTTCTGGGTTTAATCATCTTTCATTAAAAGCTTCATAGTTCTTTAGTGAAACTCCAAGAAATCACTAAACCAAATAAATTATGATTATGTCAAAATATATAATCCTATAAATTAGGGTTATGTTATGCATGAAGAATATATGGAGATGCCATGGCATCAGTTTCCAAAAAAAAATTGAAGACAAGAATTATGCACTGAGAATAAGTAGGGGGTGCTTTTGTGAGTTACTAAGGAAGATCCCCAGGACCACTTCTGGGTTTGGTACAGTTTGACAAATTTCCTGGTTTACAGTTGATTCCAGGATATTTTAGACAATGAAGTAGAGAAATGATGCTGCTGATTAGGGGAAAAGGCAGAGTGGGCCTTAAGAGCAAATGAAAGGTCATATATTTTGGACAAAGTAGACCAAATAAACCTAAAGGATGATAAGTTCTGAGGCAGATGTTCAAACTCAGAAATGATATGTAAGGCTCTCACTTAGGAATTTGAGAAACTGTTCTATGTTATAATACTGTAGTAGAAAAAGTCTACTCAACATTCTCCATGATGTACTTATTTCACATTGGATGCCCGTATCAAAACATCTCATGTACTCCATAAATATATACACCTACCATGTGCCCACAAAAATTTTAAAAAATAATAAATAAATAAGTATGCTCACATTAAGGAAGAAATGATTTTAATTCAAGGCATGCTAAATTAATAATTTCTTTTTCTAATCTTCAGTGATAAAAGCTGAGAAACAATAGTGGTATTATCAAGCCATAAAATCATAAAAGTAAATATGGAATTTATTAACCTACAAAGTACTAACATTAGAGACACCATAAAGAATGGACCATGTCTTCAGAAAGAAAAGATGAGCACTGCTTTGTACAGTCAGGGGTAAATTTGGGAACCATTTCTATAAAGGATGAGGAAACAAAAGTTATTCAACAACATATGGCTAGATCCATGGATGTTTACTCCATAAGAGACTATTAAAATAAATCATCAAGGAGTTGTTACACACATAAACTTTGGGGGTCTATAAAAACAAAGGTTATAACTGCAGTGATACTACCAGAGAGAGAAAACAAAGATGTGGAAATGTTAAATCTGCCAAGTGTTGAGTTTTAAATATCCTATTAAGTATACATACAAATTTGTAAGCATTTGAACTTTGACTCTAAACCTACAAAAAATTCACCATATAAAATGTTTTTTAAAAATGTTATTAAAATCAACTTTGATGGCTGAATCTATTTTCAGAATGTTTTTCTTCATGAATATACATTGCTATTATCATGAACACGTATATATTTTGCTTGTAGATGATAAGGACTTTATGACACTTTATAGGCACTAGCTAATCTGAATGTAATATACAGTATCAATTTTGATAATAGTAGAAACAATAATCTGATTTGATTCCAAGCATGTGGGATAAAGTCAACACTAAGAAAATGTAATTCATTGATCACAATTTGTTTCAGTTTGTAAGGTAATAGCCATTAACATTTCACAGTACTCAAGTATAATAAACCCAACCAAGGTATTACAAATACTATATACAAATAAAATACTAACATAATCCTAATAGCCAATGCGCAGTATTTTTCCTAAAACATTATGTATTCTGGTCTGCAGCTTAATTGTACTTATTCTAATTTATTGAGTAAAATTATATTAAATGTTCAATGAAAAGTAAAACCATATTCCTTTTTTACTTACAGAGAGTTTTCATATGAAATGAAACTGTAAAATTTGGTGAGATTTTAGAACAAGAAGGGAATATATTATTGCTATCAAAACATTGAAGGTTATTGAATATACAACAGTTAAAAGAAATTCTGGAAAGTAAAATAATACAAATAAAAATACCTTAATTAAATATCAGTGCTCTAAAATATAACTAGAGAGTCTAAAGGATCATATTGCCCATATCACTTGCTGTAAGAGACTTCCTCCTTAACACTCGAGTCAGGCCACAAACGAGCCTAATTCTATAATCCCACAGGCATCAGACATGCACTCATTTAAAAACCAAAGCATAGAAAGTGAGATGAGTAACATCCAATGTGGAACGGTTATGAGTTTTATTCCTTTGTATCCTAAGAAGAAATCAGTAAACTGACAGACTGCCTTTGTCTTCATAATTCCCAATGCTCAATCAGGTGGCCCCAGAGAACACTCTCAGTTAGTGGAATAGAAGCTTGGATTTAAGACCTACTTTATATATTCAACAAACAGTCTCAGATAGAAATACCCTCCCTGTCTGGAGCTAGTCCTCATTTTAGATTGGGAGAAATGGCAATCTTGCAACCCCACATGCCATTGAATCAGGACACTGAAGGGATAAGCAATCCTATGCTTATTGTATGCTATCAATTTAAAGTGTATATGAATATACACACACAGACACACACACACACACACACACAGACACACACACACATCCTTATGTAAACTCTTAGGCCACAGTAAGAATCCCTGGAAATAATTAAATCTGGAAAAGAGAGAAGTATTTATTCCTTCAAAAAAGAATTAGTAAAAGCCTTCTGGGGAGTTTGACATTAAATTAAAGTTGAATATGATTGAGAAAGAAGACAAATATTTATTAAGCATCTATGATGAGCCAAGTAACATACCACAGTTTAAAGTATGTACATAATTCATCATCATACATTTTATCAGCACCCGTTTATAAATGAGGAATCTCAAGTTCAAAATCCTTAAAAATACTTGCCCCAGATCACACAACTAATAAGGCGCTGTGCTCTAATTCTGTCTCTGAACTATGTAACTTCTCTGACACTATCCTGCCTCCTATCCTGAGGGATTTCACCATTTTCTGACTGTATTAATCAGGATCATAAGGAGGAAGGTTCATTTTTCTTGAATTGTTGCCTATCAGTCTTTTACAGTAATACTATTAAGGACCTTTGGTTTTGAGCTATTTGAAATGATAGACCTTTTTTCAGTTAAATTAGGTAATCTATTACACAAGGTATACATTTCAAATAATACCAACTCTTCTAAAAGTGTAAGTAAATATGACAGGAAGGATTTACCTGGAGCTTTGCCATGGTTAGTGATAGTAATCTCTTTAGAATATACTTTACTATTGGCAACCAGTGTGCCAAAATTAACTACTGATTCAATTTCCAATTGACAGGATGGAATCAACCTAGGGAGGAGAAAAGAAGGCCACATAATTAATTTAACAATCATAAGAGCCTGATAGCTAAATATGTAGGGGAATATAGATGGACACTTAAGCCCTTAAAAGACATTTCAGTTTATTTACAGGTCTACTGGTGGCATGTTTGTCAATAAAAGGAATTATGAAATAAAGATATGAAAACAAGGTAATGGGTTACATTTTTAACAAAGAAATGAGACTTTATGCATCTAAGTGCATGGTATGTCATCCCAAATAAATAGTTTGAATGTCTCCAAATCTTATGAAATAAAAGAATGCAGTGATGCTGTAACATATCATTTAGGGTCTAAAACAAGATGTAAGTACAAGATGTAAGTACTTACAAAATGTAAGTACAATTTATTTTCCATATGTATTTCTAAAAAATTCACTGTAGCATATTTGTAGCATGTGTTCCTACAAGTTTGTAAAAATCCATTATCATCTTATATACAAACCATATAAGGTTACATACATTTTCTATTTGGCTAGACATTCATGGTTAAAAAGTACCCCTAAGTATATTATCATACTTTGGATATAGGAAAAGGTCTTAAGAATAATTTCTTAGGAATCTCCACACTTCGCACAGAGAGAGAGAGCGGGGGAGAGAGAAAAAGAGAGACAGAGTCTACTTCAGTGTTAAGATTTTGGTAATATATAATGATTTCTCTGCATCTCCTGTTAGTTTCTCTTCCTCTTGTAAAAAAATCTTGAAATCTTGTTTTGGCTTCATACACACCACAGCATATAAAGACAGTTGACCTCTGAGGACAACAGAGTATCTAGTCAGCTATCAGAGGAAGTGCCTATCTAAGGACAATAGTTAAACGTTAGACCTAAAACCATAAAAACCCTAGAAGAAAACCTAGGCATTACCATTCAGGACATAGGCATGGGCAAGGACTTCATGTCTAAAACACCAAAAGCAATGGCAACAAAAGCCAAAATTGACAAATGGGATCTAATTAAACTCAAGAGCTTCTGCACAGCAGAAGAAACTACCATCAGAGTGAACAGGCAACCTACAAAATGGGAGAAAATTTTTGCAACCTACTCAGCTGACAAAGGGCTAATATCCAGAATCTACAATGAACTCAAACAAAGTTACAAGAAAAAAACAAACAACCCCATCAAAAAGTGGGTGAAGGACATGAACAGACACTTCTCAAAAGAAGACATTTATGCAGCCAAAAAACACATGAAAAAATGCTCACCATCACTGGCAATCAGAGAAATGCAAATCAAAACCACAATGAGATACCATCTCACACCAGTTAGAATGGCGATCATGAAAAAGTCAGGAAACAACAGGTGCTGGAGAGGACGTGGAGAAATAGGAACACTTTTACACTGTTGGTGGGACTGTAAACTAGTTCAACCCTTGTGGAAGTCAGTGTGGTGATTCCTCAGGGATCTAGAACTAGAAATACCATTTGACCCAGCCATCCCATTACTGGGTATATACCCAAAGGACTATAAATCATGCTGCTATAAAGACACATGCACACGTATGTTTACTGCGGCACTATTCACAATAGCAAAGACTTGGAACCAACCCAAATGTCCAACAATGATAGACTGGATTAAGAAAATGTGGCACATATACACCATGGAATACTATGCAGCCATAAAAAATGATGAGTTCATGTCCTTTGTAGGGACATGGATGAAATTGGAAATCATCATTCTCAGTAAACTATCGCAAGAACAAAAAACCAAACACCGCATATTCTCACTCATATGTGGGAATTGAACAATGAGAACACATGGACACAGGAAGGGGAGCATCACACTCTGGGGACTGTTGTGGGGTGGGGGGAGGGGGGAGGGATAGCATTGGGAGATATACCTAATGCTAGATGACGAGTTAATGGGTGCAGCACACCAGCATGGCACATGTATACATATGTAACTAACCTGCACATTGTGCACATGTACCCTTAAACTTAAAGTATAATAATAATAAAATTAAATTAAATTTAAAAAAAATAAGGACAATAGTATAAGGAATCTCTAGAAAAGAAGAGAATGACAAACACAACAAGGCTAAGTACAAGTGGTCATTAAACTCAGGGATGCCCTAATAGGTAAACAATACCTTCCAATGGTATAAAGGCATCTTCTCATTTTACTATCTCATTCGGTATATTTGCTGATACAAATAGAACAAAGAGGTCTATGCATATTTTGTTTTCTCAGCCCATTTTTCACAATTCCTCTCCCATTTATTTATACAAAAGGAGAAATAGATGTCATCTTTTCTTAGTTTAATGGTGATGCATTGCTTTGGAGTGGAAACATCTCTGGGACACCAAACTAAGGGACAATTGAAAATATTGGTGTTGATATTGATAAAGTGAGTGACCAAAATTACTAGGTAACAAATCCATTTACATAAATGTGTTTATCCAGTTTTCTTTCATCAACATTAAAAGAGGGGAATACAACTGACGTAGCTGACACATTGTTAAAAATAACACTTGATAAACAACTGCTGTAATTTTACCCTATAACTTTACGGAGTTGAAAAAATTGAGAGATATTACTACAATAAAATCCTTTCATTCCAATCTACTCATTATGGAGACAACTTCTCTCAGCATCCATATCAAAAAATTTTAAATAGGGATAAAATGCATGTGGGATTCACATAAGCAATAAGTATCTATCATCCATAAACATGCTAACTAAATAAAAGTTTAAAATGCTCCATTCATCTGATTATAAATATTTCCAGTAATACTTTGCTTTTCTGTTAAAAAAAAACTCGTCAAACTTAGTTTGATATATGGAGTTTAAATCAATTTGTATTAATAATATCATTTATAAGAATTATTAAAAATATGCATGGATTTATGACTATAGCAAGTATATTTAAACATATAGCTGTTTATTTGATGCACACATATAGGTTCATATGTACATATACCTATATAGACATAAACTATAGACAAATTACCTATGCACTTTATTCCTGGTGATCATGAAAAAAACTTCTAAGCATAAAAATGTAATACATTAGGATGTGATGCTGTGGTGAAAAATGGAATGGAGCTACAAATTTAAGAGGAAAAGAAAAGAGGTAATTTTTTCACCTGCTAACATATTATTGATATTTTCATTCTACTGGATACATTTTAAAAAGGCATATAAGTATTTTATTTTTAAATCGTAACACTCACTATATATAAGCCATTACCTCTTTACAAGTGTTCAAACTAATGATGAAAATCGTAGATATTTTTAAATATAAAAGAAGGTCATAGTTTTGGGAGACACATAAAAAAAAGCTCTGAAAATCACTAATTATATCATCTACCAACTAGGGCACTTTGGAAGTCCAGGTTGATGTACGAAAATGTAGAAATCAATCATGTAGTTTCTGTTTTCTTTCTTCTTTTTTCAGGGTTCACTCCATAACAAATAGAAGGTTCATTACATGTCTGATCCATATACAGAAACTCTGAAGTAAAAATAAATGTGCTCACTCCAACAGTTTTTTTTAATCACATTCCAGTCATGCCATTAGGGAGTAGTTCAGATCCAGTTGGACTAACTTTATTCACAAAACATTCACTGAGTATATACAATTTAGATTATAGAAAAAAATAAAACTCCCCTGGACCTCAAGAATTTTACAATCTAATGGAGAGAAACAAACAAATACAAACTTCTGGTCCAGAAAAAAATAGCATAAGCCTATTTTTTCCTGTTCCTTCTACTAAACACAACTATAAACCCTGAAAATGGTACACGAGGCAAGCAAAAGAGAATGATGAAAGGTGGTGAAAAGGAGAACTGGCTGATTTAGAACTCTGGGACTGGAGGAACAATAGCAGCAGGGTGTCTCACAATCCCCCAACCAACAGAGAAAGGCCACGCAGACCCAGTATTCTTTGCCCGCTGACCTAGTTAGAATCATTCTTTTTCTGGATCAAACAGGAGCCCCCCTGAACACACCAGGTGAGCCAGACAATGCCAGCCTGGGGATCAATTAAGAGGTATACCAATCATAAGTGACAAGGGGAAGCACTCTCCTTCTACTCCAGGCCTGAGATCCTGCAGAAGAGGAGTTCTCTTTCTCAGGAGTTTTCTGTCCAAAGACACCAAGGTAGTTTTGAGGAAACCAGGAAAAAAAAAAAAAAAAAAAAAAAAAAAAACAGCAATTGCAAGCAGCTATATCTGAAAAGCCTCTTTGTCACTGCTGGCTCAAACCTCTCCTTTTTCACTCAGGGACACTGGAAAGGTAAGCGGGACTTGCAAGAGATCTAGATACAGCAACTGGCCCAGTACAACAAACTTCTTTGCCCCATAAGTCAGATTTTTCTATCTGCTCAGAAGACCTGGGCAGCCAAGGGGGTACTTGTATAGCGTTCTCACCACATTTCTCCTCTATCAAGAGACATGTGGCAGCCAGGCCTGGGAAAAAAAAATGCCTCCACTCCTTCAGGAAGCACCAGCAGAAGACAGTGGGAGCAGTAGTGATAACATATAAATAAAATGGATCAAAATAATACCTCAAACATACTGAAAACTAAATTGTCATCACAACCACAGCATACAAAATAGGCTAAGAAAAACATGCTGAACATAAATGGGGTGTGTGCCTGTTAAAATAACAGATTTAAATAAGACCCAGAGTCTCCTAACATAACAGAAAAAAAAATTTAGCATTCAATCAAAAATCACCTGTCATATCAGGAACCAAAAAAATAACGATTTTGATGAGAGCAGACAATCAACAGATGTCAACCAAGATGAACCTCAGGTTGAAATTATCTAGCAAGGATTTTAAAGCAACTGCCAAAAAAAAAAAAAAAATGCTGCAACAAGCAATTTCAAGTTTTTTTGAAACTAATGAATAAATAGAAAATCTCAGCAAATAAATACAAGTTATAAAAAAGAATCAAATAGAAATTATAGAATTGAATAATACAACAACCAAACTAAAAACATAGTGATGAACACAATACCAGGATGGAGATAACAGAAGATAAAATGAGTGAAATGGAAGCTCGATTAATAGAATTCACCCAGACTTGACAAAGACTGAGAGAGAAAGAGAAAAAAATGAGCAAAGTCTCAGAGGCCTGTGGGACAATAACAAATGATCCAATATTTGCATCATTAAAGTCTCAGAAGAACAGAAGAAAGAGAATGGGGCTGAAATAATAGTTAAATGCAAATAATGGCTAAAACTTCCAAAACTTGGCAACAGACACTGACATACAAATTCAAAAAAGCTGAGTGAACCCAAACCTGATAAACTCAAAGAAAATCATGTAAAGGCATATCATAATTGAACTTTTGAAAACAAAAGATAAAAACAAAAATCATGAAATCAGCCAGAGAGAAAGAATGTGTTCCATATAGAGAAACACCAAATTAAATGAATGCACGTATCACATCTGACTCCATGGAGTCCGGAAGGAAGTGTCACAATATTTTTCTAGTACTGAAAGAAAAAGAAAACTGTCAACTGAAAACTCGATTTCTGTTAAAACTACGTTTGATAATGAAGGGGAAATACAGACATTAGACAAAGAAAAACTAAAAGAACTTGTCACTAGCAAACACACACTTAAAGATCACCTAAAAAAATTCTTCAAGTGGGCAGAGGAAGAAGGCTCCACCTATCATCCCTCCTACAAGGACACCAATTTAACAACTATCTATATAAAAAAAAAAAAAAAAGCAACTTCGTAAAAACCAAAAATCAGGTGAGCACTCACAGTACCTGGTTTTAACTTCATATCACTGAAAGAGGCATTCAAGAGTGTAGGAAACACAGTTTTGAATCACCTCTGTCAACCCTCCCCAACCCCCAGCAGTGGCAGCATGGCATGGAGAGAGAATCTGTGCATTTGAGGGAGGAAGATCACAGCAATTGTGAGTCACTGCATTGAACTCACTGCTGCCCTGTCACAGCAGAAAGTAAAACAGGGGAACTAAGCTGATGCCTGCCCATGGGGGGAACATTTAAACCAGCACTAGCCAGAGAGGAATCACCTATCCCAGTGGTCACGACTTGAGTTCTAGCAAGCCTTGCCACCATGAGCTAACATGCTCTGGGACCATAGATTAACTTGAAAGGCAGTCTAGGCCACAAGGACTGCAACTTCTAGATGAGTTCTAGTGTTAAACTGGGGTCAAAGTCAGTGGACATGGGGAGACACACAACCTACTAAGACACCAGCTGGTGTGGCTAGGGGAGTGCTTGTGCCAACCCTTTCCCCAACTCCAGGCTGCATAGCTCATGGCTCCAAAAGAGACCCCTTCCTTCTACTTGAGGAGAGAAGAGGCAAGAATAAATAGGACTTTGTCTTGAATCTTGTATACCAGCTTAGCCACAGTAGGATAGAGCACCAGTCAGAGGTGTGAGGCCACCTTTCCAGGCCCTAGCTCACACATAACATTTCTAGACACACCCTGGGCCAGAAGGAAACCTATTGCCTTGAAGGGAAGGATCCAATCCTGGCAAGATTCATCACCTGCTGACTAAAGAGCCCTTGGGCCCTGAGTAACCTGCAGTGATACCTAAGTAGTGTGCCATGGGCCTTGGGTGACACTTGGAAACTTGCTGGCTTCAGGTGAGATTCAACACATTCCCAGCTGTGGTGGCTACAGGGCAAGACTCCTTCCACCTGACATAAGTGGAGGGAAAAGTAAAAGGGTTGTATCTAGTACCTTAGGTATCAGCTTGGCCACAGAGGTATAGAACACCAAGCAGGCCTTTGGGGACCCGGATTCCAGGCCTTAACTCTTGGATGGCATTTCTGGACCTGCCCTGGGCCACAAGGGAGTTTACTGACCTGAAGGATGAGTCCCAGGCCAAACAACATTCACCACAAGCTGACTAAAGAGACCTTGGGCCTTAAGAGAACATCAGTAGTAAGCTTGGCAGTACTCCCTGTGGGCCAGTGGTGGTGGCGGCCATAGGGTGAGGCGCCTCTGCCTCTGGAAAGGGAAGGAAAGACTGGGAAGAACATTGTCTTGTGGTTTGAGTACCAGCTCAGCCACAGTACAATAGGTAGACTTCTAAGGTACTTTACCCCAGTCCCTTGTTCCTGGATGGTACCCCCTGGACCCACCCAGAAAACTCTTCAGAACATTAGACTGAGCATAGATTTCTTGAGTAGCACCCCACAAGCACAGGCAACCAAAGCAAAAATTGGCAAACAGGATCACATCAAGTAAAAAAGCTTGTGCACAGCAAAGAAAACAATCAACAAAGTGAAGAGACAACCCACAGTATGGGAAAAATATTTGCAAACTACACATCTGTCAAAGGATTAATAACCAGAATATATAAGGACCTCAAACAACTCTCTAGGAAAAAATCAATAGTTAAATTTAAAAATGGGCAAAAAATTTGAATAGACATTTCTCAAAAGAAGACATACAAATGGCAAATAGTCACATGAAAAAATGCTCAACATCACTGATCATCAGGGAAATGCAAATCAAAACTACAATGAGATATCATCTCACCCCAATTAAAATGTCTTTTATCCAAAGGTTAGGAAGTAACAAATGCTAGCAAGGATGTGGAGAAAAGGTAACCCTCATACACTGTTGGTAGGAATGTAAATTAGTACAACCACAAAGCAAAGGAGAACAGTTTGGAGGCTCCTCAAAAAACTATAAATAAAGCCACCATTAAGATCCAGCAATTCCACTGCTCAGTATATACCCAAAGAAAATAAATCAGTGTATTGAAGGGATATCTGCACTCTCGTGTTTATTGTAGCACTGTTCACAGTAGCCAAGAATTGGAAGCAACCCAAGTGTCCATCAACAGATGAACTGATAAAGAAAATGTGCTACATATACACGATGAAGTACTATTTAGCCATAAAAAATGAGATCCAGTCATTTACACATAGATGTAACTGGAGGTCATTATGTTAAGTGAAATAAGCCAGGCATAGAAAGACAAGCATTCTATTTCTCACTTATTTGTGTGATCTAAAAATTAAAGCAATTGAACTCATGAAGATAGAGAGTAGATGGATGGTTACCAGAGGCTAGGAAGGGTAATTGGGGGTGGGGAAGAAGGGGGAGGGTTAATGCGTGTAAAAATATAATTAGAAAGAATAAATAATAAGACCTAGTATT
This sequence comes from Homo sapiens, assembly GCF_000001405.40. Classification (NCBI taxonomy): domain Eukaryota; kingdom Metazoa; phylum Chordata; class Mammalia; order Primates; family Hominidae; genus Homo; species Homo sapiens. The sequence goes on along the minus strand of NC_000023.11, from coordinate 35,933,146 downwards.
TACTATCACAACAAGATGACCACAGTAAAAAATAATTTAATTGTACATTTTAAAATAACTAAAAGACTGTAACTGAATTATTTGTAACACAGGGATAAATGCTTGAGGTGATGGATACCTCATTTATCTTGATGTGATTATTAGTCATTGCATGCCTGTATCAAAATATCTCATGTGAACCTTAAATATATACACATACTATGCACCCATAAAAATTAAATATGGCCAGGCATGGCAGCTCACACCTGAATGCCAGCACTTTGGGAGGTCAAAGCGGGCAGATCACAAGGTCAAGAGACCGAGACCATCCTGGCCAACCTGGTGAAACCTCATCTCTACTAAAAATACAAAAATTAGCTGGGCATGGTGGCACGTGCCTGTAATCCCAACTACTCAGGAGGTTGGGGCAGGAGAATCACTTGAACCCAGGAGGCAGAGGTTGCAGTGAGCTGAGATCACGCCACTGCACTCCAGCCTGACGACAGAGTGAGACTGCGTCTCAAAAAAAAAAAATTAAATATAATAAAGTTCTTCAGAAAGTCAGGAAATAATAAAAGAGAGAATCTTGGAGTATCAGAAAGAAAAAAATGGAGCAGGCTGAGCATGGTGGCTCACACCTGTAATCCCAGCATTTTGGGAGGCCAAGGTGGGAGGATTGCTTGAGCCCAAAAGTTTCAGACCAGCCTGCACAACATAGTGAAACCCCACCTCTACAAAAAATTAAAAGTGCGTGGTGGCGGGTGCTTGTAATCCCAGCTACTCAGGAGGCTGAGGCAGGAGAATCACTTGAACCTGGGAGGTGGAGGTTTCAGTGAGCCGAGATTGCGCCATTGCACTCCAGCCTGGGCAACAGAGAGAGACTCCATCTCAAAAAAAAAAAAAGAAAGAAAGAAAGAAAGAAAAGAAAAGAAAAAAAGAAAGAAAGAAAAAATTAGCCAGGCTTGGTGGTGCATGTTTGTAGTCCAAGCAACTTGGGGGGCTGAGGAGGGAGGATCATTAGAGCCCAGAAGGTTGAGGTTGCAGTGAGCCATGTTGACACCACTGAACTCCAACCTGGGCAACAGAGGAAGACCCTGCCTCAAAAAAGAGAAAGGAGGGAAGCAAGGAAGGAAGAAAGGAAAGGAGGGAGGGAGGGAGGGAGGAAGCCAAGAAGGAAGGAAAGGAGGGAGGGAGGGAGAGGGGGAGGAGCAATGGAAATAGCAAAGCACTAGCTACATACAATCAGCTATATTTTTCCTCATAAGTTTTATAAATTATATTTGATGATGAAAACAAGAATCATAACACCCTTAGATATTCAAGACAGTAATATTTAAAAGTAGGGAAAGAAAAAAAGACTCAAATGGAAATGAAGCTTCTACACTTCACTTAAAGTGACAAAATGTTTATGCCACTAGAATATTATATCATGTATGCATATTGAAGTATCCAGAAAAACCACTACAATAATTATGCAAAGAGATGCACACAAAACAGTATAAATAAATCAAGATGCAACCCTAAAATAACCTTCAATTAACCTACAGGAATGCAAAAATGAGAAACAGAAGTATGAGAAACAAAGAGAACAATGAGAAAACAAATAATAAACAAGCAGACAAATTATAGCATATACAAATTAACTTAAATATAAATAGCCTAGATACAACAATCCAAAGACAGAGGTCGAAATATGGGGAAGGGAACCATTGCCCAACTATATGCTGCTGCTTAGAAAAAACTCAGTTTAAATTCAAGGCCATAGTAGGGTGAAAGTAAACGAATAGGAAAAAACATAGTATTCAAATTTTACTTAGAAAAAAAAGTGCAAAAAGCTACATTAATATCTACTAGAGGCTTCAGTGCAAGAAAATCACCATGCACAAGGAGGGACATTATATATAATAAAAGGATCAATCTACCAGAAAGGAATAACGATCATAAATATGTCCATAATAAACCTGTGGAAATTAACACACTTCTAAATAATCCAGGAGTCAAAGAGAAACTTTAAAAAAAATTAAATACATAGAATTGAGTCAAAATAAAAATATATAAAAATTTGTAGGACACAGCTAAAGCAGTGCTGAGGGTCATTTATAACGTTACATATTTACATTAGAAATGAGAGATTTTCTCAAACTCATTATCTAATTTCCAATATCAAAAACTAGAACAAGAGCAATATTAATTCAAATCAAACAGAAGAAAAGAAATAATAGAGAGCAGCAATCAACGGAATTTAAAATAAAATGAAAGGAAAGTCAACGATAGAAAGCTGATTCTTTGGAAAAAATATAAAGTTGATAAACCACTAGCAATACTTTTAAAAAGGACAAAATACACACATGTTCAACATCAGAAATGAAAGAAAGGATATCACTACAGATGCAGCAGCTTATTATTTATTTAAAAATAATCAGAAAAAATTTCTAACAGCTCTAAAATCATAAATTTGACAACTTAGAGTTGGAAGAATTCCATGGAAATGAGAAACTACAGTAACAACATAATAATATAGGCAGTATGAATAGCCCTATAAGCATCAAAAAACTAAATTCATAATTTAAAACATTCTGAAAGAAAAATTTCCAGGCCAGACAGTTCCACTAGAGAATTCTACCATTTAAATAATTGCTATCAATATTAAATAAGCTCTTCTAGAATATAGAAGACGCAGCATTTCCAAATTCATTTTATGAGGCTGGCACTATCCTGATAGCTAAACCATACAATGACAATTAAAAAAAGCAAAGAAATCAATCAATCAATCAAACTATAAACCAATATCACTAATAAACTGGGACACAATAATCCCTAATAAAACATGAGCAAATCAAATTCCAGGATATATAAAAAGAATGATACATGATGACTAAAATGGATTTATTTCATGTATACAAGGGCAAGACTGATTCAACATTAAGAAATTAACCAATGTAATCCATCATATCACTAAGTTATGGAAAAAAAATATGATCATGTAAGTTGACACAGAAAATGCATCTGACAAAATTTAACACTCCTTTATAATAAAAACTCTTAGCAATTTAGAATAGTTGGGAATTACTTCAACTTGATAAAGGCCATCCAAAAATACTGACAGCTAAAATCGTCAGGAAAGGATGTCTCACTGTTTTTTTTTGTTTGTTTGTTTTGTTTTGTTTTTTTGAGACAGTCTCACTCTGTCACCCAGGCTGAAGTGCATTGGCATGATTTCAGCTCACTGCAACCTCCACCTCCCAGGCTCAGGTGATTCTCGTGCCTCAGCCTTCCAAGTAGCTGAGATTACAAGTGTGCACCACCACGCCCAGCTAATTTTTGTATTTCTAGTAGAGACGAGGTTTCTCCATGTTGGCCAGGCTGGTCTCGAACTCCTGGCCTCAAGTGATCCGCCTGCCTCAGCCTCCCGAGGTGCTGGGATTACAAGCGTGAGCCACCAAGCCAGCTTCACCACTCTTACACAACATAATACTGAAAGTTATAGCCATGGAAATAAAGAAAGAAAAAAAGGTAAAAAGCATATGCTTTTGAATGGGAAAAAACACACAAACGAATTATCCCTGTCTACAGATGGCACGATTATCTACATATAAGATGGCAAGGAATCTAAAAAAACATACAAAAACCTCCTAAAAAGGGAGTTCAGCAAGGTCAGAGGATACAATGTCAACAAACAAAAATCAATCACTTCTCTGTATATAGCAACAAGGAATATGCAGTAACCAAAATTAAAAACACAATATTATTTGCAATCACTCCAAAGAAAATGAAATAGTTATACACTTAACAACACATGTAGAGAATCTCTGGGCTGAAAATTACAAAATAGTGATAAAAGAAATCAAAGAAGACCCAAATAAATGGAAAGACATAGCACATTCATGTTTGGGGAGAATTACTATAGTAAAGATGTCTATTTCCCTCAAATTGATCTATAAGCTAAGCTCAATTATTCTCAAAAGCCCAGCAAGTTATTTTTTTTTTGCAGGCTCAGAAAGATTATTCTAAAATTTACATGGAAAGGTAGAGATATTTTGATAACTAAACTAATGGTGACAAAGAAGAATAACACGTGAGGAATTATTCTACATGATATTAAGAATTACTATATAGCAAAGGTAATTAAGGTAGCATGATGTTGGCAAACGTATGGATACACAGATGAATGGAAAAAAAATGCAGAACACAGAAATAGACCAATGCAGATTATGTTGAAGTGATTTTTTTCAAGGGTACACAATTCAATGGAGGAAAATAGCTTTTTCAACAAATTTGGTCAGAGCAATTGAACATCTATAGGAAATAATTAGAACCTCAATGTAAATCACACTTTATACAAAAATTAACTCAAAATATATCATAGACTTAAATGTAAAACTTTAAAAGTTAAAAATAGAAGAAAATCTTCAACCATTATGATCAAGGATTAGGTAAAGAGTTCTTAGACTTAACACTAAAAGCAGTACTAATTAAAGGAAAATTGATAAATTGGACATCATTGAACGTTTAAAAAAAAAACCCTTTTGTTCTACAAAATACCCAGTTAAAAGGATGAAAAGTCAAACCTCAAACTGGGAGAACATATTTGCAAGCCACATAACCATCAAAAGACTTGTATCCAGAATATACAAAGAAATTGCAAAACTCAATAATAAAGAGCAATGTAATCATAAAATGAGAAAAACACATTAACAGAGATTTCACTAGAGAGGGTACTCAGATGGCAAAGAAGCACCTGAAAATATGTTGTCAACATCATTATTCATTGGGGAAATGCAAATTAAAACTATGGAGAGATTCCATTAAATATCTATCAGAATAGCTAAAATTTTTAAGTAGTGATGAAAGCAAAAAATACTGGCAAAGATACCGTAAAAGTGGATTACTCATGTATCACTCTTTGAAATGTAAAATGGTACAGGCGCTCTGAAAAGCAATTTGGGATTTTCTGTTAAACAAAATATGTAATTACTATATGACCCTACAATTACACTCATGAGCATTTATCCCAGAAAAAATAAAAACTTATGCTCAGACAATACTTGTACAGGAATATTAAAGCAGCTTATTTGTGATAGCTAAAAACTGGAATCTGTCCCTTTGTTCTTCAACAGGTCAATTGTTAAACAAATTGTGATATATATATATACATATATATATATATATAAAATAGAATACTACTCAGCAATAAAAAGGAGCAAAATATTGATACATTCAACAACTTGGCTGAATCTCTTGCAAGATTTTGCTACAAGAAATTTTGCTGCAAGAAAAAAACAGAAGGCTACATAGTGTGTGATTCGATTTATGTAATATATTTGAGATGACAAAAATTTGAGATGTAGAAGACAGATTAGCAGTATCCACAGTTTAGGGTTCGTGGGTGTGAGGCAGAAGGGAAGTAGATACAGTTGTAATAAAGCAACAGGAGGGACTTTCTTGTGGTATTGGAACTGTTCACTATCTTGACTGTGGTGGTGGATACAAGAACCTACGCAGGTGATAAAAAATGTGTAGAAATTAATAACACACATGCACACACACATACACACACACACACACACACACCTTCCTTCAACCCTGTCCATCACACCAAAAGAAGGGCAGTGCTCTTCTTATATTGCAACCATGGTGAGAAACAGGCTTCTGATGAGAGAGGGCATATACTCTGGAAACAAGAAAAAAATCTCTGTTTTCAAGGACAGAAGCATCTTCAACCTGTCTCTCCATACATACCACAAACAAGCAAATCTGAGTGCCAGTCATAGATATGTCAAAGTGCAGAATGCATACAAAATGGTTCTACTTAAACTGCAAAACACGAATTAAATATTTATACTGGGTTAATAGCTTGTTTTTTTCCTACCATGTGTCTACTGTTTGATTCCTATGCAAAAATGGGATGATGTGCTAAATCAGAACTTCTCAACAACACAAAGAAACAAAATAATTGAGGATCTAAATTTAGTTTATAGAAATGAAAAAGAAAGGGAATTTTTTTTTTTTTTTTGAGATAGGGTCTCACTTTGTCATCCAGGCTGGAGTGCAGTGGCGTGATCTCGGCTCGCTGTAGCCTCTACCTCTTGGGTTTAAGTGATCCTCTTGCCTCAGCCCTACAAGTAGCTGGGACTACAGTCATGCGCCACCACTCCCAGGTTTTTTTTTCTTTTTTTTGTATTTTTTGTAGAGGTGGGGTTTCACCATGTTGCCCAGGCTGGTCTCCAACTCCTGAGCTCAAGTGATCCACCCGCCTTGGCCTCCCAAAGTGCTACGTGCTAGGATTACAGGCATGAGCCACTGCACCCAGCCTGAATAGAAGGGAATTTTGTAAAAGGTATATATCTAATACCATGTAATCCGCAGAAAATATTCCAAATTAATTCTGTAGGTGGTGGGCAAATAGAGGCAAAAGAAAACACCTATGGAAACCACATTCTGCTGGGGAAAAGGAGGATCATATATGTATGTATATAAATAAAGAAACACTTTAAATTTTAACACTAACTTTGATAAATTTATGATGAACAGAAATATACTTTTTAATATTAAAAAACAACAAATGAATCATCATTCATCCTGGTTAAATAATTTGTAACAACCAAGTCAGTCACTTAGCTCTTTTTTATACTTACATCCATCCATATTTTTCAACCAGTCTCAGAAGAACAGCATTTTGATTTTTTTGACACCAAACATTTGCCTAATTTAAAATTTGGTGAAGTGAACCTGACAATACTTTAAAATTAAATTAAAATGTGAATACAAGTTTGCAAAAATTCAATTATTAATACATTCAATTGTTGAATGTCGTTTTTTAAATAAAAATAACAGAGAATGAGGTTTCATTTCTTACAAACACTACTATTTTCTAAAAATGTGTCCTTTAAGTTCAACTGTCAGGAAACTATGTCAGAAAAAATACAAAATATTACTTTGACCCTCATTTTTATTTAAAGAGTATTCAAAATGTCAGCATGAACTATGAAGATTACATACCCAATTAGAGGAATTTCTGTTGTTTTATTTTCTATTGAAATAAGTAGCCGGTCAAAAGTGTCTTCGTCTTTATCAGGATGATATTCCACCATAGCTGTCATCTGAAGGCCAGAAGCAAGTTCTTTATCCAGACTGGTCAACATCAGTTTGAACTTCAGTGGGAGAAAGAGAGTCAAATTATACATTTTAACTCCTTATAAAAAAAAAATACCATGGCTGGGCACAATGGCTCACGCCTGTAATCCCAGCACTTTGGGAGGTGGAGGCCAGCGAATCATGAGGTCAGGAGATCGAGACCATCCTGGCCAACATGGTGAAACCCCTTCTCTACTAAAATACAAAAAACTAGCCGGGCGTGGTGGTGTGCAGCTGTAGTCCCAGCTACTCAGGAGGCTGAGGCAGGGGAACTGTTTGAACCCAGAAGGTGGAGATTGCAGTGAGCCGAGGTCGTGCCATTGTACCCCAGCCTGGGTGACAGAGCAAGACTCGGTCTCAAAAAATAAATAAATAAATAACGTTAGCAACTATAGTTAGGAGTGTTATATTATTATCAAAATACAGGCTCTATTCCTGCCCTAATGCCAAAGACTTTCTAATTTTAATTTTATTTTTAATTGACAAATAATTGTATATATTCGTTGACTACAATATGATGTACTAATACAGGTATACATTGTGGAATGAGCAAATCAGGCTAATTAACATATCCATCACATCACTTATTTATTTGTACTGGGAACATTTAAAATCCATTCTTTTAGCAATTTTGAGATATACATTATTATTTTTTTTTTGAGATGGAGTCTCACTCTGTTGCTCAGGCTGGAGTGCAGTGGCGTGATCTCTGCTCACTGCAAGCTCCGCCCCCTGGGGTTCACGCCATTCTCCTGCCTCAGCCTCCCGAGTAGCTGGGATTACAGGCACCCGCCACCACGCCCAGCTAATTTTTTGTAATTTTTTAGTAGAGATGGGGTTTCACTGTGTTAGCCAGGATGGTCTCGATCTCCTGACCTCATGATCCACCTGTCTCGGCCTCCCAAAGTGCTGGGATTACAGGCGTGAGCCACGGCACCCAGCCATACAATACTTTATTATTAACTATAGTCACCTTGCTGTACAATAGATCACCGGAACTCATTCTTCCTGTTTAACTGAAACTTTGTACCCTTTGACCAACATTTTTCCTTTCTCTGCCCACCCCAACCCTCAGCCTTTGGTAACCACCATTCTACTCTCTACTTCTACGAGTCTGAATTTTTATATTTCACATGTAAGTGAGAGCAAGTGATATTTGTCTTATGTACCTAAAGGCAAAGACTTAATGCTCATGTTTTTACCTATCTGATTCTAAATATTTAAGATATGCTTTCAAGAGTACACAACTTGAATCTGACAATGCAGGTAGCTAAGAAACATATAAATGCCAATGGACTACTTTAAAAATATAAGATACTTATAGAACTAACGTGGCTTCTATTCTAAGAAGCTTAAAATCTGAATACAGAAAAAAGGAAGAACAACCTAATAAAAATGTTGCTCAATCATATACATACATAATATATACCCACATGCACGTGTGTATATATGCGCATATATACACATATATGCGCATATATACACATATAGGTGCACATATATGTGCATATATACACATATATGTGCACCTATATACACATATAGGTGCACATATATACACATATAGGTGCACCTATATACACATATAGGTGTACATATATACACATATGTGTGCATATACACATATGTGTGTGCATATATACACATATGTGTGCATATATGCACATATACATATATACACATATGCACACATATATGTACACATATACACATACATGTACATATATACATATGTGTACACATACATGTACATATACACATACATGTACACATACATGTCCATATGCACACATACATGTCCATATATACACATACATGCACACATACATGTCCATATATACACATACATGTACGCATACATGTACATATATACATATATGTACGCATACATGTACACATATACATATATGTACGCATACATGTACATATATACATATATGTACGCATACATGTACATATATACATATATGTGCGCATACATGTACATATACACATATATGTGCATATATATGTGCATATATATTTACACATATACACATATATGTACATATATACACATACATACACATATATGTACATATATACACATGTACATATATACACATATATATGTACATATATACACATGTACATATATACACATATATATGTACATATATACATATATGTACATATATATATACACACATATATATATATATACACTTTTTTTTTTCAGACGGATTCTCGTTCTGTCGCCAGGCTGGAGTGCAGTGGTGCAATCTCAGCTCACTGCAACCTCCACCTCCCAGGTTCAAGCAATTCTCCTGCCTCAGCCTCCTGAGTAGCTGGGACTACAGGTGTGCACCATCATGCCCAGCTAATTTCTGTATTTTTAATAGAGACGGGGTTTCACCATGTTGGCCAGGATGATCTCAATCTCTTGAACTCGTGATCTGCCCGCCTCGGCCTCCCAAAGTGCTGGGAATCACAGGCATGAGCCGTCGTGCCCAGCCCTCATATGTATATTTTATATGCTTTATCCATGGGAATTTGAGCTTCATAACTTGGAGGAAAAATAAAAGAAGAATACAACAAAGAGGATAAAAACACTTTTGTTCTAGTAAGACGTTTGCTAGATGCCAGGAAAAATATAAAGGGAGAAAAAAGAGAAATAATATCTATTATGCATTTATAATGTGTCAAGCATTTTACATGTATTATCTTATGTAAATACACTTCTACAGTCCTGTGAGGCTGATATTAAGGCTCTCAGTATATAGATGAGGGAACTGGGACATGTAAAGTATAATTAACGTCTGAAGTCACTCAGGAAGTGAAGACTCAAAAACATATCTATCTGACTCTAAATCATAAGCACTTCCTCCCCTTCAACTAGAAAGAGTCCCTCTCCTGAATACATAATCTCTTTAAGGAAGCAGACTACAAACCCCTTGAAAATTAAATATAAGCCAGGGACTAGTTAAGCACCATATGAGTGATAGAGACATAAGTGTCAAGAAAATCCATGAGAGGACATGATTATTGTGGGCTAGAAAGGAGTGTACCTGGCCTAGTCTTAGAGAATGGATATTAAAGGTGGAGAAGAAGCGAGGAAGGTGCTCATTATAGGTGTAAAAATATCTCAGACACAAGCAGAAACAAGAATAAGCAAAATAGTCTCTCAGAAAGCAGATAATAAGCCAGCCTCCCTGGGCAAGAGTCCTCAATCAGAAACAATGGAGGTTATGTTGAAAATGATTATTCAGGGATTCTAATGTGAGGCTGAGTCTAAATAGTGCTTTGCAGCAATTAAGGATATAGAGAAGTGGAGTGATTTGGAAGTAACACTGATCTGGGAGCTTCATGCTTTCAGCAAACAATGCTGATACCTCCTAACTACCACATTTGAACTCTCAACCCTCGTGCAATTTATAGAACAGAAGGAAAACAAGGGATACAATATTTTCCACATAAGCCTTTGGGTGTTGGAAGTCCACATATCAGGTTTGACTATCTTCTTGTAAGTAAGCTATAGTTTCAAGAAGGAAAACCAATACTTCAGAACCATGTGCTTTTGGTCAAACTGCATGTTGTTGAGCACTCTTAGTGAGATGCAAATGTGTGCAAGGCACCATCCCTACTCTTAGCAGTTTATGAGCTGAAAATGGAGGCAGTACTAACATTTAACAAGAGGCATAGGGACACAAATTCAAACTATAAGGAATGTCTGTAAATGAAAATGGTATCCAGTAAGACAGAAATAATTTGGGGATAAAATAATAACAGACTTCTTAGAGAAAATGAGAACTCACATTGACCTTAAAAGATGCATGGGATTTGGAAAGGGATGATTTTTGCAGATGACAGGGTATGAAAATGTGGGTGAGAAGAAAAAGAAGTCTGAGTCATAAGGGAGAGGGGGCAGGTATGAGTAAGGCTGGTCTGACCAGACCAGAGGCCACACAAGCCATAAAAACACTCTTAGATGGATAGTGTTCGTGAGATTGAAGGATGTTATTGAAAATCAGTAATAGTACTATCAATTATATTTTCTTTGAAGATAAAGTATGTGTCTTCTTATTTTTCTACCAGCAATCTATGACACATAGTGGGTATTCAATACATAGGGTCAATGCAGGTTCTTGAGTCTGGGTGAAAAACAAGCACTGCTGTATGTTAGAGGAATCATTTTCTGAGTGATTATAATAGTGATGATGACAATGCCCTTTCCACAGCACCTTGTTTTTACTTTTTCTTATCCCCCACCCCAACAAGATGCACTTTTCACTATTTATCTAATTCCCTTTATGAAGGATCAGGAGTGCATTTCATAGTCTTGCAACAAAGGAAAATTCACACTGATATTGGCTTCTAACTACTAAGCATATCTAGATGTTCTCTTGTCAATGTCAAGACTTGTGGAATGAATTGTTTTCCATTATATCCTAGATATAAACTGAAATAAAACCAATTATAATATTTTTCTTGTTACTGCACAGAAACCATCCATACAAGTGTCCCCTGAACATCCATAAAATAGTGGTTGTCCACATCCAAACATTATTACCACCAGCTTGTTTCAAAAGAAAGTATTTTCAGATACACAAGTAATTGTTCAATAAATATGTGCTAAGGTAGTGAAATAACACAGGCTTTCCTTAATTTTACAGTGTCTGGAGTAAGCAAGTACTTTTTGATTTAAAGAGGAGTTAATAGTCTCTTGAGATATACTTTTTAATAAAAATATTTAAATATGAAAATCATTAAAACCTGATTCCATTTATATGAAAGCCAAGGAGAGGCCAAACTAATCTACCATGTTAGAAATCAGAATAGTGGTCAGTTCCACAGGGTGATTACTCCAGGTACTGTAAGGAAGAAGCACTGGGGATCTTCTGGGGTAGTGAACATATTCTATTATTTGATCCAGGTGGTAGCTAATGGAGATTATCTATCTAGCTATCTATCTACACACACACATATTTATTTTTTTGTAAATTCATCAAACTTTACTTTTGAGATCTGTGCACTTTAGTAAGTAAATAATACATCGATTTTTTTAACAGAGCAAAAATTAGAACATGGAAGTCCTTTTTCTCATTGCTCTTCTAATCATTAACATAGGTTTTTCTACATATATACAAAGAAATATATGTAAATTTAATCTAAAATTACGGACATCTTTTTTTTCTGCACATATAGTCCAGCTGTATTCAACACTACTTTTTATTAGGAATATCTCTTGAAGTTTTCAGTTATTTATTGCTTACATTTCAAAAATTCTTATCGCATTTCCTATATCAAAAATTTGCCTGAGAAAATGTGATCATACTGAACTAATAACCATCCATTCACACACATGATGTAAAATAACACAGTGAGATACAGAGGAAATTCTGCCCACTTTAAATTAGAAGATAGAAACACCCTCTCAGAACATTAACTTTCTTGATGGTTAGATCTGTACTAAAACCCCCTCATTAGTTTCTAAGTTCTATGAGGGCAGGGCTGTGTCCATTCCGTATTCCTCATGTCTATTACCCGTTATATAGTAGGTGCTTAACAAATGTTTGTTAAAATATGAAATAATGAACCTTTCCACTAATCCTACAGTTCCTGGAGTTATCAGGCACTTTATGATTCAAAGGGCAGTTAATAGAGAATTTTGTTCTCATAATTCTTAAGGCAACAGCAAAATCATAAAACCAAGTTGCACAGATTTTGGGATTGTTAACAAGTTTCTAAACCCAGGTTGAAGAAATGGGGAGGCTCTAGGTCAGCTTTTCTCCACCCTGCCCTCCCCATCTCCTAATCCTAAACAAAACAGAAAACAAAGAGAAACAAAAAGAGCACACACACAGAAACCTGTCACTGTTTCCCGGGAAGCCCAATCCTCCCTCCATCCCGGCAGGAGCCAGATGACTACTCCCTGGGGCAAAGAGAGACGCAGTGTGAGGAGGCGCTCTCACAAGGTCCCGCTCCCAGCACCCCTTAGTGTGTCACCTGTGGCTTGACGGGCTCCTTAAATCGGATTTTCTGGTTCCAGCGGCAAATATTATGCACAGTAATCGGGAGGCGGTACACCCTCCCGGCCATCGTGTCCAGGAACTTCACCTCAGCCGGGATCACCCGCAGCTGCATGTCTCTACCCGAGCTATCCATATCCCGGGGGACGAGGGAACCCCTTTGGATGCTCATGGCGAGGGAACCTCTGTGGACGTTTATGGTGAGGGAACCCTTTTGGGTGTTCATGGCTGCCCTCTCGGTAGCCAGAAAACAGATGTGGATCCGTCCGGCCAAGGATTAGCGTCGACGACCGTCGCTAGGCAACCATCAGACGCCAAGCGCTAGTTTCAAGCCCTGCTCTCATTGGCGCCTCCCAACCCGCGCGAGTTGCTAACGCGAATAGAATAACCCTCAGGTCACAGGTGTTACCAGAGTAACTGAAAAACACGCTGTGGCAGCCCAAACGTCAGAGGCACCTCACTTTGCCATGGCCTGGCACGGTATTAAAATCACAGAGGCTTAGTGGGCATTTTCCTGGACCTCTCGTAAGACAAAGTTTAAAGTACCATGCATTTTAAAGAAATCTGCCCACAGATGCACTGTAAACTGGCCTTATAATTCAATTAAAATTTACATTTACAAAGAAAAAAAAGATCAGTGAAAGTGATGTGCCCACGTGGTCTATTAAGGCAGCAAGATATAACAGAAAGGGAGATATAACAAAGTCAGTGTCTCCTAGATGTCCTGCTCAGAGGTCTTTACGTCAGCGTTTCTGAATCAGAATGTTTCTTACAATAGCAAAATATTGGATTAATATGAATACCAATCAGTAGCGATGGATACAATAACTTACTGTTTATTTATGATGAATAATAACGTAGATCTGTGTTGACATAAGAGATATCCATTATACAGTATTAAATTTTAAAATTGACCAAACAATAAGAAATTGTGACACCTGTATCTTTTTAAATGCACACACACACACACACACACAATGTAAAAGCAATCCTCTGGGTCTTTTGTTAAAATGCAGATTCTGTTTCAGTATGTCTGAAGCAAGGTCTAAGTATCTGTATTTATGACAAGCAAGCTTCCAGGTGATTACAATGCTTCTGGTTCCGGGGCCACACATTGAATATAGAGGCTTTAGGAACCTTGTTAACTGTTCCAGGGTCCTCATTTGTGAAATGGTGTTGCTCAGGAGATAGAGATCACACGTCTTCGCTGCTAGATGAGGACTTTTCCAACAAACTCATATTCACATTGCCCAGTCCCTACTCTCTCCTCGTCCTTCTTCTGTTATCTCAGAGTTTCAAAATATACCACACGCTTTCATTTACTCCTTGCTACTGCACATTATGTTCACTCTGAGGAGAATGGCCTCTCCATCTGCCAGCCAAACAGTTAGTCATTCTTGAACAGTAAAACCTTTCCCACAACACTTTTACAAGGTTCTCACAGTACCAAGATGATAAAGAATTTCTTGCTTCATTTTCCACAAGGATGCAGAGATTAATAAGTAGTTCTAAATACAAAGACAAGTAGTCACATTTCTTGGAACTGCTGTCAATAGTTGAAAAACAGCAGAAGTGGTGATTATTATTTGTAAATTCTTAGGAATTGATAGATGCAAACCATCGACATTATCTTTCAAAATTCTATAGATCTTGGTTTAACAAGTGGGAGATGTGAATCATGGCTGGAATTTTTATACTAGTCGCTACTACCATATCACAATACAAATCCTGTCCATGTTCCTGAGCCCCTAAGCAGGACAATTTTACAGCATTGAAATAACAATAGTTCATATAACTTGACTGAATCAAGACCACAGCTCATACAAAGCCCCTCAATCAATTTCTGAAAAAATTGGAAACTGCGAAGAAGCCTCAAAACTCCCTAATTTTTTACTCTCAAGGATAAAAGCCAAGTCTGGACTTCTGTGTATAATCCAAAGATATGGCAATAAAAATCAAATGAAGAACAATTTTGTTTATCTGTTCTGTTGGTATTCTCATCAACAAAGGAGGAATGTCACATAGCTCTACAAGTTCAACAAGCCTAAAGCTCAATCCATTGTCCTTAGTAACTATACATAAACCTTCTTGGCTTCTTATATATTCTTTTATCCACTCAAACTATTAATTTTAGATGAAATAGTCTAATATTTGCATCACATGTTTAGCTCTAAACTCTCTTGTTCAGTTTCTATTTTCAAAGAATGGCCATATAAAGACTTTTTAATTTTTTCAATTTTTAATTTTTGTGGGTATATAGTAGGTGTATATATGTATGGGTTACATAAGATGGTTTGATACAGGCATGTAATGTGAAATAAGTACATCATGGAGAATGGGGTATCCATCACCTCAAGCATTTAGCTTTTGTGTTACAAACAATTCAATTACATTCTTTTAGTTATTTTTAAATGTACAATTAAGTAATTATTGGCTATAGTCAAGTCACCCTGTTGTGCTAGCAAACAGTAGGTCTTATTCATTCTTTTAAATGATTTTTTAATACACATTAAACATCCCCACCTCTCCCAGTGCCCCCCACTACCCTTCCCAGCCTCTGGAAATCATCCTTCTACTCTCTTTATGCATGAGTTCACTGTTTTGATTTTTAGATCCCATATATAAGTGAGAACATGCAATGTTTCTCTTTCTGTGCCTGGCTTATTTCACTTGACATAATGATCTCCAGTTCCATCCACATTGTTGCAAATGACAGGACCTCGTTCCTTTTTTTATGTCTGAATAGTTCTCCATTGTGTATATGTACCCCATTTTTCTTTTTTTATTATTATACTTTAAGTTTTAGGGTACATGTGCACAATGTGCAGGTTAGTTACATATGTATACATGTGCCATGCTGGTGCGCTGCACCCACTAACTCATCATCTGGCATTAGGTATATCTCCCAATGCTATCCCTCCCCCCTCCCCCCACCCCACAACAGGCCCCAGGGTGTGATGTTCCCCTTCCTGTGTCCATGTGTTCTCATTGTTCAATTCCCACCTATGAGTGAGAATATGCGGTGTTTGGTTTTTTGTTCTTGCGATAGTTTACTGAGAATGATGATTTCCAATTTCATCCATGTCCCTACAAAGGACATGAACTCATCATTTTTTATGGCTGCATAGTATTCCATGGTGTATATGTGCCACATTTTCTTAATCCAGTCTATCATTGTTGGACATTTGGGTTGGTTCCAAGTCTTTGCTATTGTGAATAATGCCCCATTTTTCTTTATCCATTTATCTGTTGATGGACACTTAGGTTGCTTTCAAGTCTTAGCTATGGTGAACAGTGCTGCAGCAAACGTGGGAGTGCAGATGCCTCTTTGATATACTGATTTTCTTTCTTTTGGATATATACCCAGCAGTGGGATTGCTGGATCACATGGTGGGTCAGTTTTTAGCTTATTGAGGAATCTCCAAACTGTTCTTCAGAGTGATTGTGCTAATTTACATTCCCACCGACAGTGTATGAGGATTCCCTTCCAGCATTTATTATTGCCTGACTTTTGGATAAAAGCCATTTTATTTGTGGTGAGATGATAGCTCATTATAGTTTTCATTTGCATCTCTCTGATGATCAGTGATGCTGAACACCTTTTCATGTAACTGCCATTTATATGTCTCTTTTTGAGAAATGTCTATTCAAATTTTTGTTCATTTCATGATTGGATCATTAGTTTTTTTTTTCTTATAGAGTTGTTTGAGCTCCTTATATATTCTGGTTATTAATCCCTTGTTAGATGGGTAGTTTGCCAATATTTTCTCCCATTCTGTGTGTTGTCTCTTCACTTTATGGATTACTACTTCCTTTGCTGTACACAAGCTTTTTTACTTGATGTGATCCTATTTGTCAATCTTTGCCTTGCTTGCCTGTACTTGTGGGGTACTACTCAATAAATTTTTGCCCAGAACAGGACTCTGGAGAGTTTTCTCAATGCTTTCTAATAGCAGTTTTATAGTTTGAAGTCTTAAATTTAAGTCTTTAACCCATTTTGGTTTGATATTTGTATATGACGAGATATATGGGGTTTGTTTTCTTCTGCATATGGATATCCAGTTTTTCCAGCACCATTTATTAAAGAGGCTGTCTTTTCCCCAGTGTATGTTCTTGGCACCTTTGTCAAAAGTGAGTTAACTGTAGGTATGTGGATTTGTTTCTGGGTTCTCTCTTCTGTTCCATTGGTCTGTGTGTCTGTCTTTATGCCAGTATCATGATGCTGCTTTGGTTACTATAGCTCTGTAGTATAATCTGAAGTAAGATAATGTGATTCGTTCTGTTTCTTTCTTTTTGCTTAGGATAGTTTTGGCTACTATGGGTCTTACGCGGTTCCATATAAATTTTAGTATTGTTTTTTCTATTTCTGTGAAGAATGTCATTGGTATATTGATAGGGATTACATTGAATCTGCAGATTGCTTTGGGTCTTATGGACATTTTAACAATATTGATTCTTCCAATTCATGAACATGGAATAGTTTCCCATTTTTTTGTGTCCTCTTCATTTTTTTCATTAGCATTTCATAATTTTAATTTTAGAGATCTTTCATTTCTTTGGTTAATCCCTAGATATTTAATTTTATTTGTGGCTATTACAAGTGGGCTTACGTTTTAAATTTCTTTTTCATATTGTTCACTGTTGGCATATAGAAATGCTACTGATTCTGTATGTTGATTTTGCATCCTGCAATTTTACTGAATTTGTTTATCAGTTCTAATAGGTTTTTTCCTGGAGTCTTCAGATTTTTTTTCCAAATATAAGATCATATCATCTCAAACAGAGATAATTTGACTTCTTCCATTCCATTTATTTCTCTTGTCTGATTGCTTTAGCTCAGATTTCCAGTATTATGTTGACTAACAGTTCAAGGCTTTTTACTGAAATATAAGCTGTTTTTAGCCAAATTTTCAACAATGTGTATTTATGTAATTACTTTAAAGTTGAACAAATAACACAAAATGACAAGAGATTTTGCATAATCATAATTAAAATATAAATAGTATTCTATATGTTATACATATAGAATACTATTTATATTTTTTAAAAAATCTTCTGGGGGCTTCATGAAGAATAATGTTGATTATATACCATGGATTAAATATGCATGTGCATTTTTGTTCACATTTCCAAGACAGCATAGTTGGCAAGAACTTGTATGTAAAAGTCAAAGAAGGTGTTCTTACTGAAACAATGTATATATTATAAATAAGGTTAAACTTTATTTTATTATTATAGTGAATGATGAACAGTACTATTACGGGGCCATTGAAGTTAAGGAGAGACGTCCTAAATGTTCAATTCAGACTTGCCATTCTACTCTGAATTAATTTATGAAAAAATATAACTCTCATCTAATAACTATAAAAGTTGCCATGTGAACTAGAAATCGAAGGCTCTACTTCATATATAGCTAGAGGAAATTCTAATGAAGTGTAGAGTTTCTGAACAACAAGGCAGGGATAACAATGAGGAAGTATGCAAAATTATCCTTAGTAGAATGTTTGGATATTTACTTTTAGATCTGCTTAAAGGACTGAAAAAAATGATTTAAAAGATCAAATAATTCATTTAAAATGCAGTCTGCATGCAATCAAGAAAAATCTACTATAGTGGTTAGAGTACTGACTTAGATGTTACTGAAATAGGATAAAAAGATTTCTTCTAGGCACACATCCATAAAACGAAACAAAATAATGGCTTTTGAAGCAACTTGGATGGAGTTGGAGGCTGCTATTCTAAGTGAGGTAACTGAGGAATGGAAAATCAAATATCCTATGTTCTCACTTATAAGTAAGAGCAAAGCTATGAAGATCCAAAGACATAACAATGATATAATGGGCCAGGCGTGGTGGCTCACGCCTGTAATCCCAGCACTTTGGGAGGCCGAAGCAGGTGGATCACCTGAGGTCAGGAGTTCAAGACCAGCCTGGCCAACATGGTGAAACCCAGTCTCTACTAAAAATACAAAAATTAGCCAGTGTGGTGGCACATGCCTGTAATCCCAGCTACTCGGGAATCTGAGGCAGGAGACTCTCTTGAACCCAGGAGACAGAGGTTGTAGTGAGCCGAGGTTGTAGTGAGCCAAGATTGTCCCACTGCACTCAGGCCTGGGCAACAGAGCAAGACTATGTCTCAAAAAAAAAACAAGAATGATATAATGAACTTTGGAGATTCAGGGAGAAGGGCAGAAGCAGGGTGAGGGATAAAATACTACATATTGGGCAAAGTGTACACTGCTCGAGTGACAGGGTCACCAAAATCTCAGAAATCACCACTAAAGAAGTTATTCAGATAGCCAAAAACCACCTGTTCCCCAAAAATCATTGACATAAAATACAAAAGTATAGTAATCAATGTGTTTATGAAATAATTTGAAAGTGAGTAATGTACAATACAATTGACTAACGTAGCATATGATTAAAAGTTCTTCTAGATAATAAAAAGCCATGCCAATAAGAATAACGTGATGAGACTAATGCCTGGATAGAATAGAATAGCGTGAATTGGATGGCAGCAAGATGAATTACCAGAAAAATAATCCATTGTTTTTACAAAGGATATGATGAATGAGGAAAGGCTTCAAGAGATCAGGGCCAAAGGATACACGTTTCTCTAACGTTAGTAACAAGTGTGCTTTACTACAAACAGAAATTATTTCAGAGACTGCTAACTGTGCCGCATTATCCATTTTTTCCTATTTTTTCATGGTAGAGTTTTTAGATGTGCCTATGACTGCACAGGTTGATTACATTTTCCAGGCTTTCTTGTTGCTAGATATAGCCATGCAAACAAGGTTTCGTTGTGAGTGTAACTGACTTGTGCCACTTCTGAATTATAATGTTAAAGTGGTGCCTTACAATGGTGGGAGATGCTTTCCCTACCCTCTTACCTTGCTTCTTGGGCTCATTGTAAATATGGTAGTGGGCCACCTGATCACTTTAAGGTAGATAGAGTGAAAAGATCAAAGGAGCCTGGGCCTTGACTAAATTGTATAGCAAAACTACCAACCCAGCTGGGACTATTATTTGAGAGAGAGTTGAAACTAAATCATATTTAATGCACTATTAGTTTGAGTCCCTATAGAGCAGCTAAATCTAATCAACGCAGACACCAACAGAGGACAGGAGCTCTGAAGGGCATGTCCCCATGAAGTTGAACAGTTCTGATAATATCACCCTATTAGATTGAGTATCATAACTTTTGAAAAACCTTGTTTTAGCCATCCAAAGCTCCTGCCAACCTTTCCTACCTCTAGACTACTGTGGTGACCCTCGATTTTCCTCTCATGTTCACTGGGGGCAAATACCTGATGGCAAGTATACCTCTGGTTCCTGAGTAATTATAGATTCCTGAGTGAAACAGGCAATTGAAAGTCAATCATCTCATGCAGTATCTCTCATCAGGAGAGGCCTCACTTGATAGTAACAAGAGTAATTTTTGCATTATTTTACTCTCCTACAGGGCCATTTCTCGTACTACCTGAAAGGATGTTGGCACTTTTAGTCAATCTATCACAAGAAAGTTTTAACACAGTTGGATAATAACATCTACAGGAATCGAGAGAAAGACAAGCAATCTAAAATATCAGGACTTTACAGTATGGAAATGTGAAGAATTAGGAAAGAATTTGGCTGAATTATATAGTACTCACATGAAAGAGCAAAATAGACACAAACTTTTTCATGAAACTTTAAAACCAACAAGACTCTGAAAATCTCAAAATGGTAGCTTTACAGCAGAATTTCTCAACCTCAGAACTATTGACATTTTTTGACCAGATAATTATATTTTTAAGGTGCTATCCTCTGCATTGTAGAATATTTAGCTACTTCCTTGGCCTTTACCCACTAGATGTCAGTAGCACATCCCCCTCCCCTCAATTATGACAACCCAAACTAACTCCAAACATTGCTACATGTACCCGTGGGGCACAGGGGAAGGGGGAATATTTTCTCCCTCTTTTTGATATCACTCGTAGCATACTATTACATCATTACTTTACTGCTTATTTCACACAACAATACATCTTGGAAGTCATATCAGTACATCAAGAGTATCTTCATTTTTTACAACAGCATAATATTCCATTATGTGGATGTATAATAATTTATTGACCTGGTGAACTTCTGATTCACCTTGAGTTGTTTGCAATCTTTTTAAAATTACAAACAGGGTAGTGATGACTGTTGTCGTGTATATTTTTTCTCACATGTGTGAGTATATCTATAGAATAATATAGAATTACTATAAGGAGAATTGACCAAAGTTCTGTGCACTTGTCACTAGACGGTTATCAAGAAATGTCACTGTTAATAGAAACTAGAAAGTTGTTCTTCAGTGAGTTTATATTCATCATAGTCTAGCAAAAAATGAGAGTACATTTCTTCCCACGCCTAAGCTGTTACAGTATGTGTAGTAGGCAGGGTCTCTAAAATACCCCCTCCACTCATATATCCTGAACTAATTCACAAAACCTGTGGATATGATGACTTATCACTCCCACGATTATGTAAATTTGTATGGCATAACAGATCTTAAGATACGGAGAGTATCCAGGTGAGCCTAATTTAACATAAGAGCGCTTTCTCAAGCTCAGGAGTGAGCCAGAAGTCAGACATTTTTATTTCTTTTTTTTTTTTTTTTTTTTTTTGAGACGAGTCTCGCTCTGTCACCCAGGCTGGAGTGCAGTGGCGCGATCTTGGCTCACTGCAAGCTCCGCCTCCCGGGTTCACACCGTTCTTCTGCCTCAGTCTTCCGAGTAGCTGGGA
This sequence comes from Homo sapiens, assembly GCF_000001405.40. Lineage (NCBI taxonomy): Eukaryota > Metazoa > Chordata > Mammalia > Primates > Hominidae > Homo > Homo sapiens. The sequence goes on along the minus strand of NC_000023.11, from coordinate 35,911,254 downwards.
CTACAGGCGCCCGCCACCACGCCCAGCTAATTTTTTGTATTTTTAGTAGAGACGGGGTTTCACCTTGTTAGCCAGGATAGTATCCATCTCCTGAACTTGTGATCCGCCCGCCTCGGCCTCCCAAAGTGCTGGGATTACAGGTGTGAGCCACTGCGCCCGGCCAGTCAGAGACATTTTTAGTATAAGAAGGACTTAATACACCATTACTGATTTGAATTTGAATATTCTAGTATAAATGAACTAAATCCTATCGACAACCTAAATGACCTTGGAATCGAGTTCTTCCCCTAGAGCCACCAGAAAGGAGTGTAGCTCTGCGGGCATCTTGATTTTGTTTGCATTTCTGAGCAGAGAATCCAGCCATGCAGTGCTCAGATTTCTGCCCCCCAAAAAACGTGAGATAATAAATGTCTATTGTCTTAAGTTGTTAACTTTGTGGTAATTTGTTATGCAGCAACAGGAAACAAAAACTTTATCAATGTTTTGATATTTTTGCAACTATCTTACATAAGAAATGATATTTCCATGCATCTTAATTTGCATTTCTCTTATTATGATAGAAATGAACATCTTTTCATTTATTTAAAAGTCATTAGTATTTATTTTTTCCTATACTCTGTCTATTCATATATTTTTTCTTGGAATGTTGATCTATTTATTATCAATAGTGGAAGTGCTTTATATATTAAGGAAATTAGTCTTGTCTGCATAAATATATGTTTCTGTATATCTATTTTTTAAACTTTTCTAATTATTGTATTGGTGAAATGTATCATTTTTTATGGCTTCAGGTTTTTAAAAAGCATTTTTATTTATTCCTAGAAAAACTCTCCTTATGCCAAAATTGGATAATGAAGAACCAACATTCTCCCATGGTTCCTTCTGGTGCTTTTACTGTTTGTTTACTATTGTTTCTGTTTGGGGTTTTTGGGGGGCTTTTTCATGTTTTTGTTTGTTTGGGTTTTTATTCATATAAAATTTATCCTGATATAAAAGTGATTTGCTGATCCAAACTACCCCAACATCATTTACTGCATAATTTATGATAATAATTTCAAAATGTAGTACAGTATATTAAAAGTTTCCTCAAAAGTTTAATTTAGTGTATGATTAGCAGAACTTAACAACTGAACATTAATTCTTTAGATAGCACATTCCCTTATTTATTCTCTGGGAATTGCTTGTTGAGTTCCAATACTTCTATCAAATAATCACTTTGGCATATTGGTTTTCCTACTTTTTCTCTTCAATTTGTATTAATAATTATATTTCTCTGTTGTGATTTACTATATCTAGGTAATGACTCTGAATGTATTTTTAAATTGTTTCACTCTGATTTTTTCCATAGTTTCAACATGCCTGAATTTTTGCCCTTTCCCTTTGTTGTACATTTCCAATTCCATTTTTGTCATTTCTCCCTTTAACTTTATGCTTTTGTCAAAGCAAAAATTGCTGTATCTTTCTGTCTTTTATTTAAGAGTTCAGTATTTGATTGCTGAACTATATACGCTGGCGTTTTAGACAAAACTAGTTTTGTATCAAATATATTTTGGCTATGGGATATTGATGCCTTTTGAATTATACAACGCAACTACAATCAAATCAGGACCTGAATAAATGTGACTAGTTGACTGAGAAAAAAGTCCCAAAGTAGTAATTGTGAAAGCAATTATTCATCAAATGATTCAAGAATCTTTCTTACCTCAATTCATTTCCTAGTGCTTCCCCAAACCCCTTTGGTATTAATTATGTGCAATAGAAAAAAAATCTGTTTCCATAGGGCTTGTGATATTGGCAAAATAAATGAGATAATTTGAAGATATGTTCTGTAACCAAAGGGGATGAAAAAACTGTGAAACAGGTAATGAAAAAAAGTTTGATTACAGATTCTAAAATAATATATATGTATAATATAATTATCATTTGATATAATTTTCAGTATGTTTTGCTTTTCAATAAAAGAAAAGAAAAGCATACTAGAAATTGATATATCAAATTATACATATATTATATATATTTTCTTTTATAGAAAAGCACACTGAAAATTAATATATCAAATCATATATATACATATATTATTTTAGAAAGTAAATATATAAAGTAGCTGATTCTTCATAATAAAAAATGAGTGTTTAAAAATGCACTGATGATTTGCATCTGAAGAGTACCAGTAATCCTAGCAATTATATCTTCAGGGGCAGGAGTCGGGAGGTGAGAGTGGGAATAGGAAAGTTTTGCTCCTGTTGAATGGTTGCAGAAAATATAACTTGTAGTGTACCCAAATCCATTATGTTATTCAATGTTGGATAAACTGCTTTTTCATCCCTGTTAGCATACATCGGAAACTCTTTCCTCTCCATGAAGAAGCTCTTGAAAGTTTTGTCTCTTCCCCTCTTCCTGACACCCTCCTACTCCCCTTTTTCCTCTTTTTTTGGTGGGGGGGGTTTGCTTTTGGCTGAACCCTCAATACACTGTTTTACAACCAGACTTACATGCAGTTTCCACAAATGACAGCCATTATTTCTATTATATCAATAAAATAAAAAAGAGATTCTGAGACCTAGGACTTTCTTGGTGTGATTGTAAAGAGATGTTATTATACATAAGTAAATTTCTGTTAAGAAAGAGAAAATCACTGGAGGCCAGGGGCAGTGGCTCACACCTGTAATCCTAGAACTTTGGGAGGCCGATGTGGGTGGATCACTGGAGGCCAGGAATTCGAGACCAGCCTGGCCAACATGGTGAAACCCATCTCTACTAAAAATACAAAAATTAGCCAGGCTTCACAGTGCACACCTGTAGTCCCAGCTACTCAAGAGGCTGAGGCATGAGAATCGCTTGAACCTGGGTGGTGGAGGTTGCAGTGTGCTGAGATCATGCCACTGCACTCCAGCCTGGGTGACAGAGTGAGACTCTGTCTCAAAAAAATTTTAAAAAAAGAAATAAAGACTTTAACAAACAAACAAAAGCTGAGGGATTTCATCAACACCAGATCTGTCCTACATGAAATGCTAAAGGGTGTAATTCAATAAGAAAGAAAAGGCCATTAACATTAATGAGCAACAAGAAATCATCTGAAAGTACAAGACTCACTAGTAATAGTAAGTACACAGAAAAACACAGAATATTATAACACTGTGAGGTGTGTAAAATACTCTAATCTTAAGTAGAAAGACTAAATGATGTACCAATAAAAAAATAACTACAACTTTTCAAGACATAGGACAATCAGATATAAGAAGAAACAACAAAAAGTTAAAAACTAGGGTGATGAACTTAGGGTGCAGAGTCTTTATTAGTTTCATTTTTGTTTGTTTGTTTAGGCAAACAGTGTTAAGTTTTTATCAGCTTAAAAATAATGGAATTTAAAATAGTATTTGCAAGGCTTATGGTAACCTCAAACCAAAACATATACAATGCATATACACAAAAATTAAAAAGCAAGAAACCAAATTATATCACCAGAGAAAATCACCTTCACTTAAAGAAAGACAGGAAGGAAGGAAAGAAGGAACAGAAGACCACAAACAATCAGAAAAATAACAAAATGGCAGGAATAAGCTTACTTATCAATAAAACATTCAATGTAAATAAACTAAACTTTCCAAGCAAAAGATTTTAAGTGGCTGAATGGATAGAAATACAACACCCAATGATATGTTCTCTACAAGCAACACACTTCACCTATAAAGATACAAATAGACTGAAAATAAAGGGATGGAAAAAGATTCTCCATGTAAGTGGAAACCAGAAAAGAGCAGGAGTAGCAATTCTCATATAAGACAAAATAGATTTCAAGACAAAAACTATAAGAAAAGACAAAGAAGGTCACTGTATAATGATAAAGGGGTCAATTCAGCAAGAGGCTATAATAATTACGGATATATTTATATGCACCCGACACTGGAGCACTCACATAGAAAAAGGAAACATTATTAGAGCTAAGGAGAGAAATAGCCCCCAATACAGTAATTGCTGGAGACTTCAAAACCCCACTTTCAGCATTGGATAGATCTTCCAGAAAGAAAAATCAACAAAGAAACATCAAACTTCATCTACACTATATAACAAAAGGACCTAATAGATATTTGCAGAACATTTTATCCAATGGCTACAGAATACACATTATTTTGCTCAGCACATGAATCATTCTCAAGGACAGACCATATGTTAGGTCACCAAACAAGTCTTAAAACATTCAAAATAATTAAAATAATATCAAGCATCTACTTTGACCACAATAGAAGAAAACTACAAATCAATAACAAGAGGAATTTTGGAATCTGTACAAATACATGGAAATTAAATAATATCCTCCTGAATGATCAGTGGATCAATGAAGAAATTAAGAAAGAAATTGAAAAATTTCTTGAAACAAATGAAAATGGAAACACAACATAACAAAACCTATAGGATACAGGGAAAGCAGTACTAAGAGGGAATTTTATAGTTACAAATGCCTACTTCAAAAAAGAAGAAAAACTTCAAATAAACCACCTAATGATGCATCTGAAAGAACTAGAAAAGCAAGTGCAAACCAAACCTAAAATTCATAGAAGGAAAGAAATAATCAAGATCAGAGCATAAATAAATGGATTTGAAGCATATCCTCTAAGATCTAGAAAACAACAAGGATGTCCACTTTCACCAGTGTTATTCAATATAGTAGTGGAAATCCTGGCTAGAGCAATCACACAAGAGAAAGAAATAAAGGGCATCAAAAGTGGAAAAGAAGAAGTAAAATTATCCTTGTTTACAAATGATATGATCTCATATTTGAAAAAACCTAAAACCCACAAAAAAATACTATTAGAACTGATAAATTCAGTAAGTTTGCAGAATACAAAATAACATACAAAAGTCAGTAGCATTTTATATGCCAACATTGAACAATCTGAGAAAGAAATTTAAAAAGTAATCCCATTTACAAATAAAATTAAATATCTAGGAATTAACCAAAGAAGTAAAAGATCTCTATAATGAAAACTATAAAGCACTGATAAAAAAAAATTAAAGAAGATACCAAAAAGTGAAAAAATATTCCATGTTCCTGGATTGGAAGAATCAATATTATTAAAATGTCCATAAGACCCAAAACAATCTGCAGATTCAATGTAATCCCTATCAATATACCAATGACATTCTTCACAGAAACAGAAAAAATACTAAAAATTATGTGAAACCACAAAAGACCCATAGTAGCCAAAACTATCCTAAGCAAAAAGAAGAAAACAGAACAAACCACATTACCTTACTTCAGATTATACTACAGAACTATAGTAACCAAAACAGCATGGTACTGGCATAAAGACAGACACATAGACCAATGGAACAGAAGAGAGAACCCAGAAACAAATCTACATACCTACAGTGAACTCATTTTTGACAAGGTGCCAAGAACATACACTGGGAAAAAGACAATCTCTTTAATAAATGGTGCTGGGAAAGCTGAATATCCACATGCAGAAGGAAACCAGCCCCATATATCTCGTCATAAACAAAAATCAAATCAATATGGGTTAAAAACTTAAATTTAAGACTTCAAACTATAAAACTGCTATTAGAAAGCATTGAGAAAACTCTCCAGGGTACTGTTCTAGGCAAAAACTTTTTGAGTAGTAAGTACCCCACAAGCACAGCAAGCAAGGCAAAAATTGACAAATAGGATCACATTAAGTTAAAAAGCTTATGTACAGCAAAGGGAACAATCCACAAAGGGAAGATACAACACACAGCATGGGAGAAAATATTTGCAAACTACCAATCTGACATGGGATTAATAACCAGAGTATATAAGGTGCTCAAACAACTCTATAAGAAAAAAATGTATAATAACCTGATTTAAAAATAGGCAAAATATTTGAATAGACATTTCTCAAAAGAAGACATACAAATGGCAAACAGGCATATGAAAAGGTGTTCAATAGTATTGGTCAAGATGGCTGAATAGAAACAGCTCTGGTCCGCACCTCCCAGCAAGACCAATGCAGAAGGCAAGTGATTTCTGCATTTCCAACTGAAGCACCCAGTTCATTTCATCAGGACTGGTCAGGCAGTGGGTGCAACCCATGGAGAGTGAGCAGAAGCAGGATGGGGCATCATTTTACCCAGGAAGTGCAAGGAACTGGGGGACCTCCCTCCCCCAGCCAAGGAAAGCAGTGAGGGACTGTGTTACCTGTCCCAGGTACTACTCTTTTCCCATGGATTTTTGCATTCTGCAGATCAGGAGATTCCCCTGTGAGCCTATACCACCAGGGCCCTGGGTTTCCATCACAAAACTGGGCAGCTGTTTGGGCAGGCACCGAGCTAGCTGCAGGAGTTTTTTCATACTCTGGTGGTGCCTGGAACTCCAGCGAGACAGGAGAACCATCCACTCCCTTGGAAAGGCGGCTGAAGTCAGGGAGCCAAGCGGTCTTGCTCAGCAAATCCCACTCCCACAGAGCCCAGCAAGCTAAGAACCACTGGCTTGAAATTCTCACTGCCAGCACAGCAGTCTGGAGTCAACCTGGGACGATCAAGCTTGGTTGGGGGGAAGGGCATCTGCCATTACTGAGGCTTTAGTTGGTGGTTTTCCCCTGACAGTGCTAAGGAGACTGAGAGGTTTGGACTGGACGGAATTCACCACAGCACAGAAAAGTGGCTGTGGCCAGACTGCTTCTCTAGATTCCTCCTCACTGGGCAGGACATCTCTACAGGAAATGCAGCAGCCCCAGTCAGGGGCTTACAGATAAAATTCTCATCTCCCTGGGATGGAGCACCTCGGGGGAGGGGCGGCTGCAGTCACAGCTTCAGCAGACTTAATCTTTCCTGCTGGCCAGTTCTGAAGAGAGCAGCAGATCTCGACAAGGCGGATTCTCCCAGCAAAGTGCACCAGCTCTGCTAAGGTACAGATGGCATCCTCAAATGGGTCCCTGACCCCCATGCCTCCTGACTGGGAGAGACCTCCCAACAGGGGTCGACAGACACCTCATACAGGAGAGCTCCACCTGGCATCAGGCTAGTGACCCTCTGGGACAAAGCCTCCAGAGGAAGGAGCAGGCAGCAATCTTTGCTGTTCTGCAACCTCCACTGGTGATACCCAGGTGAACAAGGTGTGGACTGAACCTTTGGCAAACTGCAGTAGACCTGCAGAAGAGGGGCCTGACGGTTAGAAAAAAAAAAAAACAAACAGAAAGCAAGGACAACAACAACATCAACAAAAAGGACACCCCACACACAAATACCCCATCCAAAGGTCATCAGCCTCAAAGATCAAAGGTAGATAAATCCACAAAGATGAGGAAAAACCAGTGCAAAAACGCTGAAAATTCCAAAAGCCAAAATGCCTCTTCTACTCCAAATGGTCGCAACACCTCTCCAGCAATGGTGCAAAACTAGACGGAGAATCAGATTGACTAATTGACAGATATAGGCTTCAGAAGGTGGGTAATAACAAACTCCTCTGAGCTAAAGGAGCATGGTCTAACCCAATGCAAGGAAGTTAAGAAACTTGATAAAAGGTTACAGGAACTTCTAACTAGAATAACCAGTTTAAAGAGGAACATAAATGACCCGATAGAACTGGAAAGCACAGCACAAGAATTTCGTGAAGCATACAAAAGTATCAATAGCTTAATTGATCAAGTGGAAGAAAGGATATCAGAAATTGTAGACCACCTTGCTGAAGTAAGGTGTGCAGACAAGAGAAGAGAAAAAAGAATGAAAAGGAACGAACAAAGCCTCCAAGAAATAAGGGACTATGTAAAAAGACCAAACCTACAATTGATTGGTGTACCTGAAAGTGATGGGGAGAATGGAACCAAGTTGGAAAACACACTTCAGGATATTATCCAGGAGAACTTACCCAACCTAGCAAGACAGGTCAACATTCAAATTCAGTAAATACAGAGAACACCACTAAGATACTCCATGAGAAGATCAACCCCAAGACACATAATCATCAGATTATCCAAGGTTGAAATGAAGGAAAAAATGTTAAGGGCAACCAGAGAAAAAGATCAGGTCACTGACAAAGGCAAGCCCATCAGACTAACAGCAGATTTCTCAGCAGAAACCCTGCAAGCCAGAAGAGAGTGGAGGCCAATATTCAACATTCTTAAAGAAAAGAATTTTTAACCCAGAATTTCATATCCAGCCAAACTAAGCTTCATAAGCAAAGGAGAAATAAAATCGTTTCCAGACAAGCAAATGCTGAAGGATTTTGTCACCACCAGGCCTGCCTTACAGGAGCTCCTGAAGGAAGCACTAAATATGGAAGGGAAAAACCAGTACCAGTCACTGCAAAAACACACCAAGATAATAAAGACCGATGACACTATGAAGAAACTGCATTGAATAACGGGCAAAATCACCAGTTTTGTATCCTGAGACTTTGCTGAAGTTGCTTATCAGCTTAAGAAGTTTTGGGGCTGAAATGCTACGGTTTTCTAAATATAGAATCATGTCATCTGCAAATAGAGACAATTTGACTTCCTCTCTTCCTATTTGAATACACTTTATTTCTTTCTCTTGCCTGATTGCCCTGGCCAGAACTTCCAGTACTATGTTGAATAGGAGTGATGAGAGAGGGCATCCTTTGTCTTGTGCCAGTTTTCAAAGGGAATGCTTCCAGCTTTTGTCAATTGAGTATAATATTGGCTATGGGTTTGTCATAAATAGCTCTTATTATTTTGAGATACGTTCCATCAATACCTAGTTTATTGAGAGTTTTTAACATGAAGGGATGTTGAATTTTATTGCAAGCCTTTTCTGCGTCTATTGAGATAATCATGTGTTTTTTGTCATTGGTTCTGTTTATGTGATGGATTACGTTTATTGATTTGCATATGCTGAACCAACCTTGCATCCCAGGAATGAAGCTGACTTGATCATGGTGGATAAGATTTTTGATGTGCTGCTGGATTCAGTTTGCCAGTATTTTATTGATGATTTTTGCATTGATGTTCATCAGGGATATTTGGCCTGAAGTTTTCTTATTTTGTTGTGTCTCTGCCAGGTTTTGGTATCAGGATGATGCTGGCCTCATAAAATGAGTTAGGGAGCAGTCCCTCTTTTTCAGTTGTTTAGGATAGTTTCAGAAGGAATGGTACTAGCTCCTCTTTGTACCTCTGGTAAAATTTGGCTGTGAAGCTATCTGGTCCTGGGTATTTTTTAGTTGGTAGGCTACTAATTACTGTCTCAATTTCAGAACTTGTTATTGGTCTATTCATGGATTCAACTTCTTCCTGGTTTAGTCTTGGAAGGCTGTATGTGTCCAGGAATTTATCCATTTCTTCTAGATTTTCTCGTTTATTTGTGTAGAGGTGTTTTTAGTATTCTCTGATGGTAGTTTGTATTTCCGTAGGATCAGTGGTGATATCTCTTTTATCATTTCTTATTGTGTCTATTTGAGTCTTCTCTCTTTTCTTCTCTATTAGTCTAGCTAGTGGTCTATCTGTTTTGTTAATTTATTCAAAGAACCAGCTCCTGGATTCATTGCTTTTTTAAAGGGTTTTTTGTGTCTCTATGTCCTTCAGTTCTGCTCTAATCTTAGTTATTTATTGTCTTCTGCTAGCTTTTGAATTTGTTTGCTCTTGCTTCTCTAGTTCTTTTAATTATGATGTTAGGGTGTTGATTTTAGATCTTTCCCACTTTGTCCTGTGGGCATTTAGTGCTATAAATTCCCTCTTAATACTGCTTTAGCTGTGTCCCAGAAATTCTGGTACATTGTCTCTTTGTTCCCATTGGTTTCAAAGAACTTCTTTATTTCTGCCTTAATTTCGTTATTTACCCAGGAGTAATTCAGGAGCAGGTTGTTCAGTTTCCATGTAGTTGTGTGGTTTTGAGCAAGTTTCTTAATCCTGAGTTCTAAGTTGATTGCACTGTGGTCTGAGAGACTATTTCTTATGATTTCAGTTCCTTTGCATTTGCTGAGGAGTATTTTACTTACAATTATGTGGTTGATTTTAGAATAAGTGCCAAGTGCCACTGAGAAGAATATATATTCTGTTGATTTGGGGTGGAGAGTTCTGTAGATGTCTATATACCCAAAAGAAAGGAAATCTGTATATCAAAGAGGTATCTGCACTCCCACATTTGTTGCAGCACTGTTCACAACAGCCAAGATTTGGAAGCAAGCTAACTGTCCATCAACAGATGAACAGATAAAGAAAGTGTGGTACTTATACAGAATGGATTACTATTCAGCCATAAAAAGAATGAGGTCCTGTTATTTGCAATAACATGGATGAAACTGGAGGTCATTATGCTAAATCAAAGAAACCATGTACAAAAAGACAAACTTCTCATGTTTTCATTTATTTGTAGCATCTAAAAATCAAAACAGTTGAAATCATGGAGGTAGAGAGTAGAGGGTTGGTCACCAGAGTCTGGGAAGGGTAGTGGGAGGGTGGGGCGGAGGTTGAGATGGTTAATGTGTACAAAAAGAAAACATAGTTAGGAATAATGTATAAGATCTAGTCTCTGATAGCACAACAGGGCCACTATAGTCAAAAATAATTTAATTTTATATTTTAAAATAACTAAAACAGTATAATTGAATTGTTCATAACACAAAAGACAAATGCTTGAAGGGATAGATATCCCACTTCACATAATGTGATTATTATGTATTACATGCCTGTATCAAAATATCACATGTACCCCATAAATATATATGCCCATTACCTCCCCTCAAAAATTAAAATCAAAACTAAAAAACAGTTGTATGTTAATCCAAACAAAATTATGCTAAACTATACGGGGAACTTGGTGATGAGGGAAGTGTTTGTATGTAACCGAGAGCTGCTTGGTGAAAGACCACTAAATTGTCAACTTCTAATATAAATAATAAGGATAACATCAAATGCTGATGAGAATGTGGAGCCACTGGATCATTCAGAAATTTCTAGTAGGAATGTAACATTTATAGCCACTCTGGAAAGCAGTTTTACATTTTCTTATTAAAGTAAAAATATAACTACCATACAGTCCACCAAATGCAGTCACACACATTCATCCTAGAGAGACGCAAACTATGTTCACACAAAACTGAATATTCGTTGCAGCTTTATTCATAATAATAAAACCTGAAAACAGTTGAGTGCTCTTCAACCGGTAAATTGTTAAACAAACTGTCATATATCTATACAATGGAACACTACTCAGTAATGAAGAGGAATTAACTACTGATACATGCAGAAACTTGGGTGTATCAATAGTTGAGTGAGAAAAAATCTATTCCCAAAAGATGACATAATGCATGATTCCTTTCTGTAATCTTTAAAATGATAACATTTTAGAAATGGAGGACATGTCAGTAGTTAAGTATAGGGTAAGGCAGAAGCAAGCTGGGTATGATTAGAAAAGAGCAGGATAAAGTATCCTTGTGGTGTCGGAAGTGTTATCTTGACTTTGGTTGAGGATACATGAAACTTTAAAGGTGTCAAAATTGTATAGAACTAAATACACACATACACAGACACACACACACACGTACTGGTAAAACTGGCAATCTGAATAATATAGGGGTATTATATAAATGTTAACAGCCTGGATATGATATTATATGATAGTTTTGCAAAATGTTACCATTAAGGGAAGCTTGAAAAATTTTACACAAGAGATTTCTGTATTATTTCTTATAACTGCATGTGAATCCACAATTATATTAATACAGAATTTAAATAAAATTTTGAATAAATACAAATAAATAAAATGTATATAGCATCCTCTACTCCTGAAAGTGTTACCATTCGGATATCTGAGGAAAATGTATATGAGGTCTAAGAATATAACAAAACATAATATCTCGTGTTTGGGCACAATATTCCTGATGGTGAGTGTACCACTTTGCTCAAAATTCTAAACCATTCCACTTTTGTTGTGGATTCAAAGGGAGATTTATTTCATTTATATGAATATAATTCAGCCAGACAGTGTGAAGAATATATAAAATCCTGCATAGACAGCACACCCGGCGAGAATTCGCTCAGTAAATTTGTGCCAGTGAGGCAGATTGATTATCTGGTTTCCCATTTCAAGTGTCCTCCACTATATTTATAGGCAGCTGTAAGTTGTCTGTTGTTTTCTTGTGGAAATGTAAATAGCCAGCCAGTTGGTACTCTCTTGGTTGACCTATGTAGCAAGAAAACGTGAAATCAGCAGTAAAGGCCCTGATTTATTTTTAGTGGTAACCCTTTCCCATGCCGCATAAGGTTTCAATATAATCAAAAGTGCTAGCAGACAATTGCAGTTATATTTGACATCCTTGACTGGACTAATTTGTTTGTCCTTCAAACCTCTCCTTTTCTTGTGTGCCATACACATGTCTTCTTGGCCAGTGTATCGAATTATGTTTCCTTATAAGGTAGCCACTAGCCACATGTGGCTATTTAAAGCTTAAATCAATTGAAATTAAATGAAATAAAATATGTATCTCTTGTATCACAATAGCCATATTTCCAGTGCTCAGTAACCAGTAACAAGTGCTCTGATATTTTATGCTTTCATAATTCTGTCATGAAAACAAACTATTTCCAAAAAAATTCTATGACAAAAGAAGGAATTGGGCTGGGCGCAGTGGCTCACGCCTGTAATCCCAGCACTTTGGGAGGCTGAGGCGGGCAGATCACGAGGTCAGGAGATCAAGACCATCCTGGCTAACATGGTGAAACCCTGTCTCTACTAAAATACAAAAAATTAGCCAGGCGTGGCGGCGTGTGCCTGTAGTCCCAGCTAATCAGGAGGCTGAGGCAGGGGAAATCTCTTGAATCAAGGAGGCGGAGGTTGCAGTGAGCCAAGATTGCACCACTGCACTCCAGCCTGGTGACAGAGCAAGACTCCATCTCTAAAAAAAAAAGGAATTGGCAGTGATATGACCAGTTCATGTTAAATAATGAAAACTCAAGTGTTCAGCCCCAGTTACACAATATGCATGACTGGAGTTGAAAGTATAACTTTTATACTATTTAGCTTTTCATTTCATTTAAAAATTGTATTTATTAACACAGCACAGCATGAGGTATATGTACCTCTAAAACCATCAGTGTTTGCTGTTAAGATCTTAGAGGCCAAATAGTACTATTACTCTCTTTTTTCCAACTCTTGAAATATTTGTCATTCTTTCTTATTTATCTCATCTTACTTTTAGTCTCTAACCAAGGAACTATGGAGGAAGAGTTAATCTTTTCAAACTTATTTTTAAAATAAGTAATCTAACACTATGTTTATATTTAAAAAAAATAGCATGTAGATAAGAAAATTGAATCAGTTATTAGAAAAGCGGGTCAATTAAATGATACTTAATTTCCAGAGTTGAGAAATATTCTCCCTATTCCTGTGATGTCTTCACATAGGAGTCAGAGAAAGGGAAAGAAGGGAAACCTTCATTTTGTCCCCAATATCAAGGCAAAGTAATAGACTCCACTCAAACTGCCCGATTCCTCAATTATTAATTCTTCTCTGAGAAGCTTAGAGTGAGGGAGAAAATTTCAAGTTGGAGTTTGTGGGTTGACTATCTCATATTTCAAATAAACTATTTGTCAGGGATTAAACTTTCTGAAAAATGGAAGAATATTAGAAAGAATAACCTGTTTACTCTCAATATATAGAATATTCCCTTGAGGTCTCATATTCACCTGTAATCTAATTCAGAGATTCCTGGACATTTTTCAAGAATTTATTTCTCTTTTTTATTTCTCTGGCCCCTTGAGATAATCAAATGGTGGGTTCTGGGAAGTGCCTAGCAGCTGTCATCTTCTCCTTATATTTTGATGTGGGCCTCAAAGGATCAAGACTAAATATTTTCTGCCCCCTTTTGCAAGTATTTTTGTTTCCATCAAGGCTCAACTTCTGAATTTTTTAAATAAAATGAGGGGTTATTGACAGCAAGTTTTCTAGATCTAAATTTCATTTTTCTTTCTGTGATTCCCAGGTAACTCTGTTGTAAGTTTGTTTTGGATCTTGAAGCTACGTGCATAAAAACCGTAAATTAGTTTTTATATTTACTTGTTTAAAAACAAAGTAGACTGGGTGCGGTGGCTCCCAGCACTTTGGGAGGCCAAGGCAGGTAGATCACCTGAGGTCAAGAGTTCGAGACCAGCCTGGCCAACATGGTGAAACCCCGTCTCTCCATAGTTCCTTGGTTAGAGACTAAAAGTAAGAGGAAATAAATAAGAAAGAATGACAAATATTTCAAACCCCTCATTTGTATTTTGTAAAAGTATAAAAATTAGCCGGGGGTGGTGGTAGGCACCTGTAATCCCAGCTACTTGGGAAGCTGAGGCAGGAGAATCACTTGAACTCAGGAGGCAGAGGTTGCACTGAGCCAAGATCGCACCATTGCATTCCAGCCTGGGCAGCTAGAGTGAAACTTTGTCTCAATAAATAAATAAATAAATAAAAATAAAGTACATACAATAAAATTTGCTCTTTCTGGTGTACAGTTTTATGAGTTTTGACAAATGCATATAGTCATGTGACCACCATCACACTCAAGATATAGAGCACTTCTATCACCCCAAAATATTACCTCATACTCTCCCCTTATCACCAACCCCAAGCATTGGTCTGCTTTCTGCCCCTAAAATATTGTTTTATCTTTAAATTCACATAAATGGAATTATGCAGTATGTAGCCTTTTGAGTGGTGTATTTCGGCATAATTCATTTGCAATTCATCCATGTTGCTACATGGATTAGTAGCTCATACCTTTTTATTGCTGAGTGGTATTTCATTATATGGTCTGACATTAGACTGCTACCCAGCAGGGCACTGAGTATGAAGTAGTGAGTGGATGATAAATTCAGCTAATGGTGGAGAAGCCATTGGATGGTACAAGTCACGAACAGCAGGAACCTTGAGTTACAC